>NC_000005.10:17883578-18186608 GCF_000001405.40 Homo sapiens
CTGTTCACCCCTAGATTCTACGCAGGAAAAATTATGCTCAGTCAGAGTTATTACAAAGTTCAGCTAGAAGCTTCTTTCACCCTGTAGCCCCTCTCTAATTCTGTGGGCTGCCTTCACCAAGGACCCCTGTGAGATAAACTCAGGGATGGCTTCCCTGGATTTGAGCTGGGGACAAGGAATGCCTACAGGGCTCTTCTCTCTTTCTCTCTCTCTTCCTCCCTCCCTCCCTTCCTCCCTTCCTTCTTTCCTTCCTTCCTTCCTTTTCTTTCTCTCTTTCTCTCTCTCTCTTTCTTTCTTTCTTTCTTTCTTTCTTTCTTTCTTTCTTTCTTTCTTTCTTTCTCTCTCTCTCTCTCCCTCTCTCCCCCTTTCTTTCTTTCCTTCTTTCTTTTTTTTTTTTTAATTTTTTATTTTATTTTTTTCAGAATCTTGCTCTGTCACCCAGGCTGGAGTGCAGTGGCATGATCTCAGCTCACTGCAACCTCTGCCTCCTGGGTTCAAGTGATTCTCGTGCCTCAGCCTCCTGAGTAGTTGAGGTTACAGGCACCCACCACCATGCCCGGCTAATTTTGTACTTTTAGTAGATACTGGGTTTTGCCATGTTGGCCAGGCTGGTTTCAAACTCCTGACCTCAGGTGATTGACCCACCTCAGCCTCCCAAAATGCTGGGATTACAGGTGTGAGCCACCATGCCTGGCCCACACTGTTTCTTCTACTTTTGTATTTCTCTTAGCTCCCTAAATCCATTTCAACTCTAGGTAAGGCTAAATCTTTCTCCCACTATCTGGATTTTTCAGAATACTCAGCAGGGATGTATGTTCAGAGGCAGACGTTCCCTCCTCTCACACTTTGGGAACTCACAGTTTTTTGGCTCTTCATGGAGTTTGCAGCGACACACCATTTCTTTCAAAGCCTCTGAACTCTTTCTGTTTCCCTGGTATGTTCCTGAAGTGGTTCTTTGATATGGTTTGGCTGTGTCCCCAACCAAATCTCATCTTGAATTTCCATGTGTTGTGGGAGGGACCCGGTGGGAGGTAATTGGATCATGGGGGCAGCTCTTTCCCGTGCTGTTCTCGTGAGAGTGAATAAGTCTCACAAGATCTGATGGTTTTAAAAAGAGGTGTTCCCCTGCACAAGCTCTCTTATTTTTGGTCTGTCACCATCCACATAAGATGTGACTTGCTTCTCCTTGCCTTCTGCCATGATTGTGAGGCCTTCTCAGCCATGTGAAACTGTAAGTCCAATTAAACTTCTTTCCTTTGTAAATTGCTCAGTCTTGGGTATATCTTTATCAGCACCATGAAAACAAACTAATACAGTAAATTGGAACAAGTAGAATGTGGTGCTGCTAAAAGATACCTGAAAATGTGGAAGCGACTTTGGAACTGGGTAACAGGCAGAGGATGAAACAGTTTGGAGGGCTCAGAAGACAGGAAAATGTGGGAAAGTTTGGAACATCTTAGAGATTTGTTGAATCACTTTGAGCAAAATGCTGATAATGATATGAACAATGAAATCCAGGGAGAGGTTGTCTCTGATGGAGATGAGGAACTTGTCGGGAGCTAGAGCAAAGATGACTCTTGTTATGTTTTAGCAAAGAGACTGGTGGCATTTTGCCCCTGCCCTAGAGGTTTGCGGAACTTTGAACTTGAGAGAGATGATTTTGGGTATCTGGCAGAAGAAATTTCTAAGTAGCAAAGCATTCAAGAGGTGACTTGGGTGCCGTTAAAGGCATTCAGTTTTATAAGGGAAGCAGAGCATAAAAGTTCAAAAAACTTGCAGCCTGACAATGTGATAGAAAAGAGAATCCCATTTTCTGAGGAGAAATTCAAGCTAGCTACAGAAACCTGCATAAGTAATGAGGAGCCAAATGTTAACCCCCAAGACAGTGAGGAAAATGTCTCCAGGGCATGTCAGAGGTCTTCATGGCAGCCCCTCCCATGAGAGGCCTGGAGACCTAGGAGGAAAAAATAGTTTTGTGGGCCAGGCCCAGGGTCCTCATGGTGTGTACAGTCTAGGGACTTGGTACCCTGTATCCCAGCCACTCCACCTGTGCCTAAAAGGGGCCAAGGTACAGCTTGGGCTGTGGCTTCAGAGGGTGCAAGCCTCAAGCCTTGGCAGCTTCCACATGGTGTTGAGCGTGCAGGTGCACAGAAGTCAAGAATTGAGGTTTGGGAACCACCACCTAGATTTCAGAAGATGTATGGAAAAGCCTGGATGCCCAGGCAGAAGTTTGCTGTAGGGGCAGGGTCCTCATGGAGAACCTCTGCCAGGGCAGTGCAGAAGGGAAATGTGAGGTGGGAACCCCCACACAGAGTCCCTATTGGGGCACTGCCTAGTGGAGCTGTGAGGAAGAGGACCACCATCCTCCAGACCTCAGAGTGGTAGATCCACTGACAGCTTGCATCATGTGCCTGGAAAAGCAAAAGACACTCAATGCCAGCCTGTGAAGGCAGCCAGGAGGGAGTCTTTACCCTGCAAAGCCACAGGGGTGGAGCATCCCAAGACTATGGGAATCTACCTGTTGCATCAGCGTGACCTGAATGTGAGACATGGAGTCAAAGGAGATCATTTTGGAGCTTTAAGATTTGACTCCCCGCCAGGTGCAGTGGCTCACACCTGTAATCCCAGCACTTTGGGAGGCTGAGGTGGGTGGATCATGAGGTCAGGAGATCGAGACCATCCTGGATAACATGGTGAAACCCTGTCTCTACTAAATATACAAAAAAAAAAAAAAATTAGCCGGGTGTAGTGGTGGGCGCCTGTAGTCCCAGCTACTCAGGAGGCTGAGGCAGGAGAATGGCATGAACCCAGGGGGCAGAGCTTGCAATGAGCAGAGATCATGCCACTGCACTCCAGCCTGGGAGACAGAGTGAGACTCTGTCTTAAAAAAAAAAAAAAAAAAAGAAAAGAAAGAAAGATTTGACTGCCCCACTGGATTTCAGGCATACCTGGGGCCTGTAGCTCCTTTGTTTTGGTCAATTTTTCCCATTTGGAATGACTGTATTAACCCAGTGTCTGTACCCTCATTGCATCTAGGAAGTAACTAAGTTGCTTTTGATTTTAAAGGCTCATAGGCAGAAATGTTTTGCCTTGTCTCAGATGAGACTTTGGACTGTGGACTTTTGAGTTAATGCTGAAATTAGTTAAGACTTTGGAGGACTGTTGGGAAAGCATGATTGCTTTTGAAAGGTGATGACATGATATTTGGGTGGGGCTAGGGGTGGAATTATATCGTTTGGCTGTGTCCCTACCCAAATCTCATGTTGAATTCTCACGTGTTGTTAGGGGGCACCTGGTGGAAGGTAATTGAATCATGGGGGCAAGTGTTTCCTGTGCTGTTCTTGTGATAGTGAATAAGTCTTATGGGATCTGATAATTTTAAAAAGAAGGATTCCTCTGCACAAGCTCTCTCATATTTGTTTACTGCCATCCATGTTAAGATGTGACTTGCTCTTCCTGGCTTTCTGCTATGATTATGAGGCTTCCCCTGCCACGTGGAACTGTAAGTCCAGTTAAATCTTTCTTTTATAAATTGATCAGTCTGGTGTACGTTTTTATCAGCACCATTTAAACAAACTAATACATTCTTGGAGCAAAAGCTCAAAATGTGAGTCTCCACACACAGTTCTGTCTGTCAAAGTGGGAGCTGCACGTTAGTCCTGTCTCCTATCCATTTTCTTCTCCTCTCAAGAAAAATATTTTAGTAGCATTGCTTGTAGTAGAGAAACATGTCTATCAAAGGCAGGAGAGATAAAGTTGTTTTGGTGTATCATAAAATGGAATATTTTTTTAGCTATTATAATGCATAATCTAGTAATCGATATATCAGGTTATATAATTCTTCAGAATATATAACAAATGAAAAAAAACTAGTTGCACAATGTTATATAAAATGATCTCTTTTAAAAAACCTTGTAAAATATCAAAACAGGAATATGCATTATTTAAAAATATCTCTATGTTATAGTTTTATATGTATATTGTATTTATAGTTAACAGCATGCAAACATTGACAGAAATTATATATGGTATTTTTAGGAAGATGCATTTTCTCTGTGGAGAAAGGAAGGTTTGGGTTTGAAATGGTTGTGGATTACAAAGGAGGCATTAATTCCTTATGTTACATTTTCTCTAAAGTGATTTAAAAGAGATAAGGCAAAATATTCAACATGGATAGTTTGTATGTGGACATTTGGTATGAACTTGTTAATTTTCTGTTTATCATTTTTTTCTAATCAAAAAATAGAATAAGAGACGAGCCATACATTGGAGGAAGAGGGTGGAAAGAGTGGTCCGGCCAAGACTGAAGTGTTCTGCCACACATGAAGCTTTTCTAAATTATCCTACATATTTGAAACCTGACTTCCACACATAGCCATATTTCACAAAGATATTAAAGTTTTAAATTACCATTGAGTAAAATTGATGCTCAGGAAGATGACATATATTCCTATTTCTTCCAGTTTCTTTAGTCACTCTAGATTAGATTTGACTTGATATGAGCATGTACTTGGACCCCCAGTGATCTCCCCTCCTCTGAACTCTTGTGATATTTCCTAGATGAGGCAACTGTTGTGACAAAAATTCCACTGCCTTATGTAAATGCTTTGAACAGTTTTGTGAGTATTATTTGTGCCTGCCCTGTGGATGCAAGCTCCTGGAGTTGTAAATATGCTCTAATCTACTTATATAAATGCTTACCACAGTGCTAAATTTATGAACAAATCCTCTTAATATGCCTTATGGCATTCAGAGATTTTATGTTATTATGCTCATTGGTAGAAAATAGCTTGTGTGTGTGTGTGTGTGTGTGTGTGTCTGTGTGTGTGTGTATGGATGTGTGCATGTGTGTGCAAACACTTGAAGGAGGTAGATCAGGATAGAAATACTTAGATATAGGCCACTTTGCTCTTTTAAGTTAGAGGATGGCAGAAGTACCTAGCAAATGATTATATGTGTGTGCCTTGTGGACATATCTTGTAACACAATATGTGTGTTTCTGAAAAAAAAAAACAATGCTTATATTCTGCAGAATCATTGGATTAAAAATTAAAGAGGATTATGCTGAACATAGGGTCATAGGAGGGCCACTAAAATCATGTGCAGCTTTGTAACTAATTTACTAAGACAAATACTCCTAATAAAAATACTAGTAAAGCTAATAATAACTTTCTAATGAATATGTACACACTTCAATACATTTTGAACTTTACCTTAAACAAAAGAAACAAAGTAAGTATAGTAGTAGCTTGATAGAAAGATTGAGATTACTGAGTTGTGGAGAAAAAAGGAAAGTGGGCAGAGATCAAGGAGATTCATCCCACAACCCTTCCAAGACAGAGACCATGGCTTGGCTGAGTTCAAGAAAAGGACATGGGGTGAGTAGAAGTCACAGAGCGAACGAGATTTTTTTCCATGGCTGCGTCCGGCAGCAGGTGACTTCTTTGAGTTTAGTTGCTATTTCACAGGGGCACAACATACGGTTACCTTGCTTTATTAATTTTATGTCTTTTGTTATCAAAGTACTTTAAGACCTTCTTATTATTATTTTCTCTTCTTTCTTAAGCATGGATGCCACTATAGTTTTTTTCGCAATGTCTGAACTTTAAGGAATTTAGCTTTTATATAACGCATAGTGAATCAGCATATGTACGTCTGTGTGGCTACCCATAAGGTAATGCATAGTCACCTTTGTCTGATAAAATTAAAGTAATAAGAATTTTACATATCATTATGTATTTATATTTTTGCCAATAAGTATGGAATTTGTAAATAATATCTATTTTAGATAGTAAAACTAGGTGAGTGCTATGCTAATATTTATATAACAAATTTGGAAGACAACAGGATTGTAAAGTGGCTTTGATAAGAAAACATTAAATTTATTTTCTATTTGATATAACATTGTGTTTCTAATTGCTTTCTTAGCAAAGAAGTTATTATTCATCAAGAATCATCAAATGGATTTTATCCAAAACTCTTAGACTGACAGGATAATGGATTTCTGCTAATATGGTGATTGATGGTTGATGCTAAACTTGAATATTTTTTGCCATAGTTATACTATAGGGACTCATCTTTGGATAATAATCAGCCATAGCTATAAAAGATTTTCACTGAATAATTTGTGTTGCTCCACAGTGCACCCTAAGGCATTGAACTGATTACAGAAAGGTAAATTACCTTTATGCATTTTCTTCCTGACTACGTGGGTGGCAAGTACAAACACTGAATTCTATCTTGAATTAAATAATTCTTTCGTAGTCTAACACTGTATAAAGACTTGTTTTTAAATATTCTTTACTTAAAGTGTTCCTTAAAATTATAACCAGATGTCTAAAAATAAAAATGAATACATTCAGGCAGAAACTGCTACTCAGCTGTCTTTATCTACTATAACTCATTTTTAAATAAAAAGATTTTAATAATCTGTGATCACATAACGATTTAACACAATTAGCATGTGTTTTGGCCTCAGATTTTCTGATTTCCTATTTTCTCTGAATAAGCGTTAAGAATCATGTTACTCTAAAGTGTGCTAATTAACTAAGAAAAATATAATTTTTCTGACCTAGTTACGAAATACTTCAGACTTTAGAATTTTAAGATCAGTGCCATATTTTTCAACTTGACTATGAAAAAAGCCTCAAATCCCCTTTGAAATGATTGAGTATTGAACTAATATGAACTGTAGATTATGATAATCTCTAAAATAAAAGCAAGGCAATAATTTTAATTAAGGGAAAACTACAGCCAAAATATATGTATGTTCTGCAATCCTTTTCTTTTTTAAAATGTTGGTATGTAATGCCTTTAAAATATATTCTAAAGCATTAAAATAAATTAGAAAACTTAAAATCGTTTTCTTTATTTTGTAGTTAGTTGGATTTATCAAAATATCTTTTCAGTGATTATGGTAAGTTGTATTTTCAGAAAATACTTTTGACTGTGATTCATATTCAAAAGAGTATTGTCACTAGTTTCACTTGCTGTAACGGCTAAAAAGAAATAGACTGTAAAGACCAAGTGTTGGTGAAAATGTGGAACGATTGGGAATCCCATACATTAAGGCTAGGAGTGTAGAATGGTACCACCAGATGGAAGAGTTGGGAAGTGTTTTAATAAATTTATTCCTACGCCTACCTTATGACACAGCAGTTTTACTCCTGGCTTCTTACCCAAGAAAAATTAAAACTTTGGCTACAAAAAGACATGTACAAAAATCTTCACACCAGCTTTATTTTATAATAACACAAACTGAATACAACCCAACAGATATCCTTAGTTGAATGGGTTAATGAATTATGCAATATGTGTACTCAGTAATGAAAGGGTACAAACTGTTGATATACACAATAGTCAATAGTGGTTATGAATGCTGAAACATTACCTGAAGTAAAAAATAAATCCACGTTTATGAATTTGTAGCACAGATAAACGAAATAATGATGACAGAAACCAAATACATCCTTTTCTGGAAGAATCAGGCAATACACTGGAAAGTAGCATGCAGAAACTTTAGAGAGTAATAAAATTGTTTTTATCTTAAAGTGGTATACATATATATGAACACAATTATCAAAATTCAACAATCTGTGTACTTAAAATTAGTACATATTATTGTATATAAATTGAGTGCAATAAAAATAGTAGTAAAACAGTAAAAACATAAAAGTGCCCATTATTATTTGAAGGACTGGCTAATATTACATTTAAAAGAACTGCTAGGCCAGGTGCAGTGGCTCACACCTGTAATCCCAGCACTTTGGAAGGCCGAGGCGGGCAGATCACCTGAGGTCAGGAGTTTGAAACCAGCCTGGCCAATATGGTGAAACTCCATCTCTACTAAAAATACAAAAAAGTTAGCCTTGCATGGTGGCCAGCACCTGTAATCCCAGCTACTTGGGAGGCTTAGGCAGGAGAATCACTTGAACCCGGGAGGTGGAGGTTGTAGTCAGCCGAGATTGTACCATTGCACTCCAGCCTGGATGACAAAAGCAG
This sequence comes from Homo sapiens, assembly GCF_000001405.40. Classification (NCBI taxonomy): domain Eukaryota; kingdom Metazoa; phylum Chordata; class Mammalia; order Primates; family Hominidae; genus Homo; species Homo sapiens. The sequence continues at coordinate 17,891,580 of NC_000005.10, forward strand.
ACTCCATCTCAAAAACGAAAACAAAGAAGAGGAAGGAGAAGGAGAAGAAGAACTGCTAGTGTTATACAGAAAGATCCATTTTTCATCAAAAGCATAATTGTAGTGACAATACAATTGAGTATCTAAACTAGGGCACTTTTGAGAGTGAAAGGGATACTATTAATACAATACATTTGGTCAAAAGGACTAAATCAGTACTTTTGTAGAATAATCAAAGAGTACTGTTACCCCAGTGTTGACTGTTTCCCCAAAATGTTGGTGTTAAGAACTCTAGAACAACTGCTCGTAGAGGTATATTCACTGTGTATATACACATATGTGTGTGTATGTGTGTGTGTGCGCACGTGCTCACTCGTTTGCTGCAGGCCGTCTTCAGTCATTTGCTCACTGAATCAAGTTAGTGAAGCTGCTGATTATTTGTATGTGTGTGAAGTTCAAGGGCAGCTGATAATTTCCAGGAGCTATCAGCTACCATGCAGGCACGTAAAACCTCAGGATCCACAACTGATAATGAGGTGCGAATCAGACATACTGGGTGATGTCTGCAAACCCTGTGGTTCTATTACTGAAATAACAGAACCAGTTTTACTCTGTGTCTCAGCCACACCTTTGCATTTGATCTTGCAGACTTGTTAGATTGCTTGTTCACACCCAAGACTTTCCCAGAAGACATACAAAATTACCTTACAAATGGAAGAAGTTGCCTATACGATGTATTTTGTCTCTCAGTGACTAGTACATGTTACTGTTTCTCCCATAGTCAGACTAATACAGGATTATTTACAGGGAAGAGTGGGTATACTAAAAATTAGAATTACACGCAAATTTGAAGCAGGAAAGGCCCTCTGGAGAAGGTAATGTTTCAACTGAGATTTTAAGCATAGTAGGCATTATATAGGCAGAGAAAAATAGAAACAAGGTCCAGGCAAAGAAAACAGCATGAAATGTGCTGAAGTTTCAAACAGTATGAAAAATTCAAGAATGTACAAGAGGATGGGTATTGCTACAGAGAGCAGTGTGTGAGGGGAGAGGAAACGGGGAAAGTGATGAGAAAGAAGTTTCCTGTACTCAAGTTTGTCTCTTGTATTGTGAGTATGCTATAGGGCCCCTAGTCTAAAGTACGTAATCAATTAAATATATAGACAAAGAAAACAGGGCAAGCATCAAGTTTCTCATTATTTTTAAACAAAATTCCAAGCATAGCGTGTTTCTTATTTAGCACAATGTTATTGTAATTTGTGCAAACAGTATACATCTTTAAATGTTTTCACATTGTTAATGAATTCAAACATATACCATAGAAAGTAATATGAGCCTGTGTTTCAATATATTTGAGTAGTATTTATTAACACTCATGTATCGGTTAGCTTTTGCTGGGTAACAAACCACTGTAAAACATGGTGGCTTGAAACAGCAATCATTTATTATTGCTCCTAAGTCTGTAGTAGGCTGAGTCCATTCAAGCATCTGTAGTCCACTGTGGGTGGATAGATGCTACTGCGGATCTCATTTATGTTCTGCATGCTTGAGATCAACTGGTGGTCAGTTGGTCTAGAATGCTTTGTTTCTCCCCATAGTCTCTCATCACTTAGCAAGCTGGCCTGAGTTCTTACAAAGAAAGAAAATATGGCGGGCCTTGAAAATTGAAAGCAGATGAGAACAGAGACTAGCATTCCAAGACTCTGCAATACTCAGAACAAAGGTCAGACTATGCATGGAAAGTTAGAAGATATAATAAAGAAAAGAGCCTAACTGAAGCAAAGGGATATGTATCAGTCATCTACTGCCAAAATAATGCCACATAGGATACTGCCAAAACCTCAGTGGCTTATGAGCACAGGTATTTATTGACTGTGGTTTGACTGATCGGGGCTTGGCTTGACTGCATGATTCTGATCCAAACAATTATCATCTGAAATTGGCTCTAGGCTGTGGATGATTTTAGATTAGCTCCATATTTATTCATTCTGGGACTAAGGTTAAAGGAGCATCCAGTACCAGGGTGAGCTCTTCTCATGGGGGAGCACTATAGTTTAAAATCCAAGCCAAACCACATATCACATGCAAAGTCTCTGCTTGCATCACATCTCTTAATTTTCAATTGGCCAAGTTAATCACATCAACAGAGCAGGGATATACACTCCACCTACCCTGAGAAAGTGGCTATTTAATAAACAATAATCAAAAAATCAAAGGGTATATTTGGTGAAATAAGGGAGAAATGAGGACATAAGATAGAAATCAAATAGCCATATGATTTAAGTTGAATAATTAAGTTAAAATCATACTATGGGAAGCACCTGGAATTTTCCAAGATGGCCACACCAATATCCCCAATTCCTCCTGCTCCTGTAGAGGTATAATGTGACACTGGTGCTCTTCCCATCAAGAGCTAAGGTCTATATCTGCTTTCAATTATGGACCAGCCTTAGTGACTGGTTTACCAAAAGTGTACAGTGAAAGTAACACTATGTTACTTTCAAGCGTAGGTTATCAAAGGCCACCTGGCTTCCCCTTGCTTCTCTGGAACAATCACACTGGAGCCCTTAGCAGCCCTGAAGCCATCTGACTGTACCAAGCCTATGAAGCTGAGAGGAAGCGCAAATCAGCACAGGTAGAAGGACCACATGGAGAAGCTCTGCTACAGCATGGAGGGACAGGGATGCCTCACTCGCCCCCAGCTATCACAGTTCCACCGTTCCAACTCCAGCCTCCCTCTGACTGCAGCCTCATGGAAGGTCCCATGCCAGGACTACCCAGCTAAGCACCTTCCAGATTCATGTCCCTCAGAAACTGTGAGAAATAATAATAAGATTGTTTGAAGTCACTTGGTTTTGAGATGATTTGCTATGCAACAATATATAACTAGAAATATATATATAGAGAGAGAGCAGGGCATAAATATTAGGGAGATAAATTTGACCTGTTTAATAAGAAAGAGCAACAAAGTTTTGTTGGGCAAAGAATAGCAGGATACTTGTAGTGTTTTAGGTAGTTCAGGCAAAGGACAGCATGAGGTCACCTGAGGACAGGAGTACGTGGAACCAGGGAAATGATCTCAGTGTTCCTGAGAGCAAATGCACACGCTTTGGCAATTCATATTTTAGAAAAGTTAAATGTGTCAGTTTTTGGCAACTTATGTATATTTTATAGATCTTGACCTTTTTTTTTTTTGGAGACAGAGTCTCGCTCTGTGTCCCCCAGGCTGGAGTGCAGTGGCGTGATCTCGGCTCATTGCAACCTCTGCCTCCTGGGTTCAAGGATTCTTCTGCCTCAGCCTCCTGAGTAGCTGGGACTACTACTCAGCTGGGCGTGCCACCACGCCCGTCTAATGTTTTGTTTTTTTTTGAGATGGGGTCTTGCTCTGTTGCCCAGGCTGGAGTGCAGTGGCAAGATCTCAGCTCACTGCAAGCTCTGTCTCCTGGGTCCACGCCATTCTCCTGACTCAGCCTCCCGAGTAGCTGGGACTACAGGTGCCCGCCACCATGCCTGGCAAATTTTTTGTATTTTTAGCAGAGATGGGGTTTCACTGTGTTAGCCAGGATGGTCTCGATCTCCTGACCTCGTGATCCACCCACCTCAGCCTCCCAAAGTGCTGGGATTATAGGCGTGAGCCACTGCACCCAGTCAATGTTTGTATCTTTAGTAGAGATGGAGTTTCACCATTTTGGTCAGGCTGGTCTCGAACTCCTGACCTCGTGATCTGCCCACCTCGGCCTCCCAAAGTGCTGGGATTATAGGCATGAGCCACTGTGCCCAGCCAATGTTTGTATCTTTAGTAGAGACAGAGTTTCACCATTGTGGTCAGGCTGGTCTCGAACTCCTGACCTCGTGATCCACCCACTTTGGCCTCCCAAATTGTTGAGATTACAGGCTGAGCTACTGTGACCAGCCAGATCTTGATCTCTTAAATGAATACACTATTGAGTCATTTTATGAAAAATATGTTTACCTCCTAGTAAATCTGTTTGTTAAATGTGGGTTTTTATTAATTGGTTCAGTGACCTTACTTATTAGTCACTTTTTGTTCATTTTTTTAAAAGTCTCCATTTAAAACTGCTATTGTGTGGAAACCAAGAGATTTTATTAGCATCCCATTATAAACAATTAATAAGCTAACATTGTTTTTCCTAAAAATGATTTAATACCACAAGATTTAGTATACATTTCAGCAATTAGTACATTTCATGACATAGTACCCTTAAGCCCAACATCATTAACTCATTTATTTTGCAATGTAGGGAAACTTTGAGTCATATTTATATTGTTGCTGATGTTTCATAGGCATCTCAGACTGAAGCATGTGATTTGTAACACGTGTAGCCTGTGTGTCAGTTGTTTTCTCTGTCATTGAAGATCACCTCCTTCTATCACACTAGAAAAACAGGAGGGGTTGTCTTATAGCTGCCCTTGTCATGTCCAGCATGCAACTGCTCCCAAACATGATGTGGCCTTTCGCTTTGTGCCTGCTTCACCGTGAACCCTCACTCACTTCACTGATGTCCACCAAATGGAACTGCTTGACAAAGACCCTTCAGTTCATGCCATTTTCTGCATTCAAGGCCAGCTGACAGGTATATGTGGGGTAGGCCATTCACCCCTTTGTTGCTTGGTGCTTTCATTTTCTATAGTTCTATGGCTGAAAGTTCTAGGAAGTATGCATCAGATGTCACCTAATGGGACTTAAGGGAAATTTTAAACTAGAAGGGAAATATTTTGAAATACACACCAAATATTTGATTCCTAGTGCCCAAAATGCACTCTAGAATGTAAACATTTTTATGTTTGAGTGTTCTGGAATGCCCACCCTGGTCTTGTCACTGTGTCTCTTTTGAGAGAGACATATTTTTCTTATCTCCATCATTAAAGTTTTACTCTTCTGTTGTGAAATCCCCCTCACCACCCATAGATCTAGCCCAGGATCCAGCCCCTTACTTTACACTTACATTTTTCAAGGTCAAGAGAATTTTCTTTTCCTAAGGGTAATGAAAGGGGCAAAAGGAGGATGGTCTGTGGTGGTATTCAGCATGCCAAGTACTGCAAGTGGTTTAGGGGGTGAACACCCCAAGTATTATCCCCTTCCCCATTTATTCACCCATGTAAGTTGCAGGCTATTTACTCGTCAGATTGCATAATCTCTTCCTTCTCCTTCATCCCCATCTCTTAAGGTCAAATGTTAGTTATAAGAGATTGTGTAATCTAGCTCCCCATTGCGAAAGAGAAACATTCCTAACTGCTTTTAAGTTGGAGATACTACTTCACATTACTGGAAGTGATGATCTAAATTAACCAAGTAAACTAACATGTAAATGTTAGCCATGTTAGTTGCCAGCCATATTAGTTCACTTACTTCAGTTTTTTCCTGCATTCCTCTGATATTTTGTCCTATTAGATCAGTTTAGAAATAGAAACAGATCTGCTGATGAGCCACTCACCCTTTAAAATGGTCACTCTCTTTAGCTGCAGAGAAGATATAGAGAGATGTAGAAATTTGTTCAATTAAATATCAAGCCAGGCATGGTTGCTCATACCTGTAATTTCAGCCCTTTGGGAGGCAGAGGCGGGAGGATTGTTTGAGCCCGGTAATTCAAAGTGGCAGTGAGCTATGATCATGCCATTGCACTCCAGCCTGGGTGACACAGTGAGACCCCATCTTAAAAAAAAAAAAATTGAAGATACCTAACCCTTTCTTGTCTGGGAAAAAGAGGAAGGATTGTTTTATTTTCCATGAAACAGAACTTCTACCATAATTTGTTTTGCTTACTGCATATTTTATCCTATTTTATTATTTATTAATGAGTTTAGAATGTATTAAATAATTGACGGATTGCCATGTGAAGGTTTGGGATGAGAACATGCATCAGAAACATAGCTGTTGCAGACACAGAAATGACTTTAGAATGTTTGAGGCAGGAAAAGGCCAGTGTGGCTGGAGTGGAGTGGAGTTTCTCCTTATCTTCCAAATAACTTTACTTTAGAAAATAGAGAATGGAGGGGCTGAGCAGGTCTCATATTCAAAATTTTGTGTTCTTATCTGGAAAAAGAATCAAATTTAGAAGGACGTTTTAGATCTTTCTCTCTTGACCATCCACTATGTCTAAGATCCATCTTCTATAAGGAAAGACTGGAGAAAGAAGAGAATAATGGTGGTGGAGGGCGATGTAGGACATTCTGCACCTCTTCAGAAAGAAGGAATAAAAGATTGAACTGTTTCACGTGGAGAATTTGACCTGGCTTTCTGACATGTTACTGTGGTTGAGTTTCTGCGGTGCTCATGTTGAAACCTGTTGTTTGCTAACATACTGTTCTTTTCTTTGTGGGAATGCAAGCCTGTAATGTATTTAATGGTTCAGGTAGAACAGCGGGATATGTTTACTAGTAAAAGATTTTGGATAAAGAAGTAGGAGAGAGAAACTGGCATGATTTTAGTGTCAGCAGGCAAACAGTCCTGCTGGAGGGCATGCTGTCTCCTGCCAGTCACGAAGATTCTCCCAGCTGTCAATCACTGGGATGCCTAGGTCTTGCCAAAACTTGGGAAACTTGCCAAGGAGAATGCTGCATGCTCTGTGCTGGAGAAAATTTTTTTTTTCTTTAGCAGCATTAAGCTCCACAAGAGTATTGTTGAAGTAATTAAAATACAACAATATGCTTGCTTAAAGCCTTTAAACCAAACAGTGCATTTTCTCCTGCTCTTCTGATGACCAAATTCTTTATAGTATGATAATTGGTTTTCATGTACTTTTTTACATAAGAATAGCTATACATGTGCAGAAGACTCTGAGTTAAGGTGACCTTTTTCATTTTTAGGAATGCTGGAGAGGATGATTAAAATAATTTAAAATACTGAAAATAATTGCTGGGTTTTAATTTAGGTCATTACTTTCAGTGACTTTAAGTCATTACTTTCTCACACACACATGTGAGTTTTGTTCACTGGAAACTTTTTGCTATATTTTATACAATTCTTAAATATGAGATATTTCAACTCTAAAATGCGTTCAACTTTAAAATATTCAAATTTAATTTTTAATTCAACTGTATATTATTTAGTTACAAGATATAATTAGAAGGTCTTTCTTTCTTTGCTGATTAACATGGTGTAGTTGCTTTCTCAGGTCACACATAGACTTTTGGGCAACAATCAGTGGAATGATCAAATATGAAGAACTGTATGCAATGGCAAAATTCTGAGTGATTGTTCTGTTTAAAGAGAGAATTTAGATGTTAACTTGAGGGGCTAAGAAAAAAAAAAAAACTGGTAACATTGCCAAGAAGGAGAATACTGTTAAAAGTAAAGCAGAATGAGGTGCTCATTCATTTGCGGATAGATTGTTCACTTTGCTCAGAGCATGAAATACAGGACAAATGACTTCCCACCTGTGGAGAGACAGATTATACCTTCTTTCTCCCTTTTTCACTGAGCCATTAATTACACAGTCAAGTGTGACTCTTGTTTTTTATCTTATTCCCATTAATATTTACTTCAAAGTATAACCTTAAAAATGAAAGTCAACCCGTTACAGCCCTGGATTCTGGCAGCCTCAGAACTGTTACTGCTTTATCCACAGCAGTGTCAGTATTGGCTTCCTATTTCCATCTGTACTAATGAGATTTTTAAGATGCATTACATCTATAATTACTGTACTTTTAGCCATTATTTTACATACAGAGAAACTGGATGATATAAAAAACATTAAAAAGCTATAAGTCTAGTATTTGAAAAAGTAACAACCAATATAAAAAACATAGGCAATGTTGCACACCTATAACACATACATATTTTCTTGAAATGTCAAGTTGTTTATTTTTGCATAATTTAAACAAAACTGTTCAAAATTATCTTTTATTAAATTCAGTTTTATCCTTCTTTTATGGGTGAATTCAGTCATTTCATTTCTGTCCGTGAACATTGCCTAAAAAATAAAAATGCTTTTGGTTGTTGGTATAGAGAAATTGAGTCATTGCTAATAGCAATTGTATCTCCTTACTCAATATCCTCCTTCACCCTGCCCTCAAGAACATAGTAGAATAATAGGCCATCAGTCAATCCTCAATAAATATTTTGTATTAGTGTGAAATCTGAAAAATAAAAGCAATCTACCTGTCTATTATCTATCTTTATCTATCTGTCTATCTGTCTATCTATCTATCTATCTATCTATCATCTATCTGCCTATATAGCTAATATATTAAATCATCTACTGTCTATTTTTATTTCTCTGTCTTCATTTCAATTTTACCTATACCCTATTTTTTACATTTTAATTGTTAAATTGAGGTTTTTAGTTAGAAAACATATAGTGGTGTTTTAATAAATTGTTATTCTCCTACTTAAAAAAAAATAAACTGGAAGTGTTTGATTAATTCTTTGTGAAGATGAAAACCAAAAAGGTCTTAATAAGATTTTATTCAGAACCTTGTTTCTAATTAGAATTTCGTTTTTTTGTTGTTGTTGTAAAACTTGGGAATGGTTTTTATTATGTTTTTGAAAAATTTACACATACAATTTATTAAAAGTAATCATTTCATTTAAGGCATTAACATCTTTTTGTATGTATGTGTTTTTTATTTTTATTTCAGTAGGTTTTTGGGGAACAGATGGTGTTTGGTTACATAGAAAAGTTCTTCAGTGATGATTTCTGAGATTTTGGTGCACCATCACCCGAGCAGTATACACTGTACCTAATGTGTAGTCTTTTATCCCTCTCCCCACTCCCACTCTTTCCCCTGAGTCCTCAAATTCCATTGTATCATTTTTATGCCTTTGCATCCTCATAGCTTAGCTCCCACTTATGAGTGAGAACATACAAAGTTTTATTTTCCATTCCTGAGTTACTTCACTTAAAATAATGGTCTGCAATTACATCCAGGTTGCTGTGAGTGTCATGATTTCATTCCTTTTCATGGCTGGGTAGTATTCCATTTTATGTATATATATATACATATATATATGTGTACATATATATGCATATATATATGTGTACATATATATGCATATATATATGTGTACATATATATGCATATATATGTGTACATATATATGCATATATATATGTGTACATATATATGCATATATATATGTGTACATATATATGCATATATATATGTGTACATATATATGCATATATATATGTGTATATATATATGTATATATATGTGTATATATATATGCATATATATGTGTATATATATATGTGTGTGTATATATATATATATATATGTATATATATCATAGTTTCTTTATCCACTCATTGGTTGATGGGCATTTGGGCTGGGCTGGTTCCATATTTTTGCAATTGCGAATTGTGCTGCTATAAACAAGTGTGTGCAAGTATCTTTCTCATATAATTACTTCTTTCCTCTGGGTAGATCCCCTGTAGTGGGATTGCTGGATTAAATGGTAGATCTACTTTTAGTTCTTTAAGGAATCTCCACGCTGTTTTCCATAGTAGTTGTACTAGTTTACATTCCCACCAACAGTGTAAAAGTGTTCCCTTTTCATCACATTGATGTCGACATCTATTATTTTTTGATTTTTTGATTATGGCCATTCTTGTAGGAGTGAGGTGGTATCACATTGTGGCTTTGATTTGCATTTCCCTGATCATTAGTGATGTTGAGCATTTTTTTTTCATGTTTTGTTGGCAATTTGTGTATATTCTTTTGAGAATTGTCTACTCATGTCCTTTGCCCACTTTTTGATAGATTTTTTTCTTGCTGATTTATTTGAGTTCCTTGTAAATTCTGGATAGTACTCCTTTGTTGAATATACAGATTGCAGAGATTTTCCTCCCTTCATGGGTTGTCTGTTTACTCTGCTGATTATTTCTTTTGCTGTGCAGAAGCTTTTTAGTTTAATGAAGTCCTATCTGTTTGTTTTGCTTTGCATTTGCTTTTAGGTTTTTGGTCTTAAAGTCTTTGCCTAAGCTAATGTTTAGAAGAGTTTTTCCAATGTTATCTTCTACAATTTTTACGGTTTCAGGTCTTAGATTTAAGTCTTTGATCCATCATGAGTTTTGTATAAGGTGAAAGATGAGGATCCAGTTTCATTCTTCCGTATATGGCTCAGCAATTATCCCAGCACCATTTGTTGAATAGGGTGTCCTTTCCCCACTTTATTTTTTGTTTGCTTTTTGAAAATCAGTTGACTAAAAACATTTGGGTTTATTTCCAGATTCTCTATTCTGTTCCATTGGTCTATGTGCATATTTTTATACCAGTACCACACTGTTTGGGTGACTATGGCCTTATTGTATACTTTAAATTTGGGTAATGGGATGCCTCCAGATTCGTTCTTTTTGCTTAGTCTTGCTTTTGCTATGCAGACTCTTTTTTGGTTTCATATGAATTTCAGGATTGTTTTTTCTAGTTCTGTGAAGAATGGTGGTGATATTTTGATGAGAATTACATTGAATTTGTAGATTTCTTTTGGCAGTATGGCTATTTTCAAAATATTGATTCTACCCATGAGTGAGCATGAGATGTGTTTCCATTTGTTTGTGTCATCTGTGATTTATTTCAGCAGTGCTTTTTAGTTTTCCTTGTAGAAGTCTTTTACCTCCTTGATTAAGTATATTCCTAAGTATTTTATTTTTTATTTTTAGCTATTGTTAAAGGGGTTGAGTTGTTGATTTGATTCTCTGCTTGGTCACGGTTGGCATATAGCAGAGCTACTAATTTGTGTACACAAATATTTTATTCTGAGACTTTGCTGGATTCATTTACCAGTTCTAGGAGCTTTTTAAATGAGTCTTTAGGGTTTTCTAGGTATACAATACTGTCATCAGCAAACAAACAGCGACACTTTGACTTCCTCATTACCAATTTGGATGCTCTTTCCTTCTTTCTCTTGTCTGAGAGCTCTGACTAGGACTTCCAGTACTATGTTGAGCAGAAGTGGTGAGAATGGGCATCATTGTTTTGTTCCAGTTTCCAAGGGGAATGTTTTCAACTTTTCCCCATTCAGTATAATGTTGGCTGTGGGTTTGTCATAGATGGCTTTTATTTCCCTAAGTTATGTCCTTTCTATGCTGATTTTTCTGAGAGTTTTAATCAAAAGGGAATGCTGGATTTTGACAAATGTTTTTTCTGTGTGTACTGACATGGTCATAGGATTTTTGTTTTTATTTCTGTTTATATGATGTATCACATTTATCGACTTGCAGATGTTAAACCATCCCTGCATCCCTGGTATGAAATCCACTTGATCATGGTGTATCCTCTTGATACACTGTCAGCCTCGGTTCACTAGTATTTTGTTGAGGATTTTTGTATCTATGTTCATCAGGGATATTGATCTATAGTTTCCTTTTTTTTTGTTATGTCCTGTTCTGGTTTTGGTATTAGCATGATACTGGCTTCATAGAATGATTTCAGGAGGATTCCCTCTTTCTCTCTTTTGGAAGAGTGTTGATAAGATTGGTACCAGTTCTTTGAATGTCTGAGAGAATTCAGCTGTGAATCCATCTGGTTCTGGACTTTTTTTTGTTGGTAATTTTCTTTATTACCATTTCAATCTCACTGATTGTTATTGGTCTGCTCAGAGTTTACATCAGAGTACTTGATGTAAATTACATCAGAGTACGCTGATGTAAATTACATCAGCGTACGCTGATGTAAATTACATCAGCGTACTCTGATGTAAATTACATCAGCGTACTCTGATGTAATTTCAGTTTTCTTAAATGTGTTGAGACATGTTTTGTGGCCTATCATATGGTGTATCTTGGAGAACGTTCTATGTGTTGTTGAATAGAATGTATATTCTGCATAGAATCTTGGGTAGAATGTTCTGTAAATATCTGTTAATCCATTTGTTCTAGGGTATAGTTTAAGTCCATTGTTTCTTTGTTGACTTTCTTTCTTGATGACCTGCCTAGTGCTATCAGTGGAGTATTATTCTTTTTTAAGTCTGTTACTATTATTGTGTTGCTGTCTATCTCATTTCTTGGGTCTAGTAGTAATTGTTTTATAAATTTGGGTGCTCCAGTGTTAGGTGCATATATATTTAAGATTGTGATATTTTCCTGTTGGACTAGTTCTTTTATCATTATATAATGTTCCTCTTTGTATTTTTTAAACTGCTGTTGCTTTAATGTTTGTTTTTTTCTGATATAAGAATAGCTACTCCTGCTCACTTTTGGTGTCCATTGCATGGAATGTCTTTTTCCATCCCATTACCTTAAGTTTATGTGAGTCTTTATGTGTCAGGTGAGTCTGTTGAAGACAGCAGATACTTGGTTGGTGAGTTCTTATCCATTTGGCCCTTCTGTACCTTTTTTTTTTTTTTTTTTTTTTTTGAGACAGAGTCTTGCTCTGTCACCCAGGCTGGAGTGCAGTGGTGCAATCTTGGCTCACTGCTACCTCTGCCTCCTGGGTTCAAGCAATTCTCCTGCCTCAGCCTCCTAAGTAGCTGGGACTACAGGTGCATGCCACTGCATCTGGCTAATTTTTGTATTTTTAGCAGAGATGAGGTTTCACCATGTTGGCCAGGCTGGTCTTGAACTCCTAACCTCAGGTGATCCGTCCACCTAGGCCTCTCAAAGTGCTGGGATTACAGGCATGGGCCACCACACCGGCCCATTCTGTATCTTGTAGGTGGAGCATTTAGGCCATATACATTCAATATTAGTATCGAGATGTGAGGTACTATTCTATTCACCATGCTATTTGTTGCCTGAATACATTGTGTGTTTTCTTTTTTCATTGTGTTATTGTTTTATAGGTCCTGTGAGATTTATACTTTAAGGAGATTCTATTTTGGTGTACATTGAGGATTTGGTTTCATGATTTAGAGCTCCTTTTAACAGTTCTTGTAGTGCTGGCTTGGAGTGGCAAATTCTCTCAGCATATGTTTGTCTGAAAAATACAGTATCTTTCCTTCATTTCTGAAGCTTAATTTTGCTGGATACAAAATTCTTGGCTAATAATTGTTTTGTTTAAGGAGGCTAAAGATAGAATCCTAATACCTTCTGGCTTGTAGGATTTCTGCTGAGAAGTTTGCTGCTAATCAGATAGGTTTTCCTTTAGAGGTTACCTGATGCTTTTGTCACCCAGCTCTTAAGATTCTTTCCTTCATTTTGGCTTTAGATAACCTGATGACTATGTGCCTAGGCAATGACCTTTCTGCAATGAATTTCCCAAGTGTTATTTGAATTTCTTCTATTTGAATGTCTAGATGTCTAGCAAGGCCCAGGAAGTTTTCCTCAATTTTTTCCTCAAATATGTTTTCCAATCTTTTAGATTTCTCTTCTTCCTTAAGAACACCAATTATTCTTATGTTTGGGCATTTAACATAATCCCAAACTTATTGGAGACTTTGTTCATTTTTTAAAATTCTTTTTTCTTTGTCTTTGTTGTATTGGGTTAATTCAAAAGCCTTCTCTTTGAGCTCTGAAGTTCTTTCTTTTACTTGTTTGTTTGATTCTATTGCTGAGACTTTCCAGTGCATTTTGCATTTTTCTGAATGTGTCCTTGATTTTCAAAAGTTGTGATTGTTTTTCATTTATGCTATCTATTTCACTAGAGATTCTTCCCTTCATATCTTATATATATATATATATTTTATTTCTCTGAGCTAGACTTCACCTTTCCCTAGAGCCTCCTTGATTGGCTTAGTACTTGACCTTCTAATTTTTTTTCTGTCAATTCAGAGGTTTTGTCTTTGTTTGGGTCCATTACTGGTGAGCTAGTGTGATCCTTTGGAGGTGTTAAAGAACCTTGCTTAATCATATTACCAGGATTGTTTTTCTGGTTCCTTCTCATTTGGGTAGACTATGTCAGAGGGAAGATCTGGGACTCAAGGGCTGCTGTTCAGATGGTTTTGTTTCACGAGGTGTTCCCTTGATGTGGCATTCTCTCCTTTTCCCCAATGGATGGGGCTCCCCAGAGCCTAACTGCATTGACTGCTATTTCACTTCTGTATCTAGCTACCTAGTGGAGCTACCAGGCTCCAGGATGGTATTGGGGAGTGTCTGCAAAAAGTCCTGTGATATAATCCAATTTCAAGTCTTTCAGCCATGGATACCAGTACCTGTTCCTGTGGAGGTAGTGGGGGAGTAAAGTGGACTCTGAGAAGATCCTTGGTGGTATTTTTGTTAAGTGCACTGGTTTTGTGTTTGTTGGCCTCCCCCAGGAAGTAGCACTTTTACAGGCACATTAGCTTTGGTAGTATAGGGAGTATCAGGTGGTGGGCAGGGTCATGGAGCTCCCAAGATATTATGTCCTTTGTCTTCAGCGACCAGGCTGGGTAGGGAAAGACCATCAGATGGGGGCAGGGTTAGGCATTTCTGAGCTCAGACTCTCCTTGGGCAGGGCTTGCTGTGGCTGCTGTGGCATATGAGGGTGTGGTTTCCAAGCCAATGGACTTATGTTCCCAAGGGGATTATGGCTGTCTCTGCTGCATCACATAGGTAACCAGGGAAGTGAGGGAAGGCCAGCAGCCACAGGCCTCATTCAGTTCCCATGCAGCCCACAGCCCAAAAGGCCAGTCTCACTCCCACCGTGCCCCTCAAAGAGCATCAAGTTTATTTCCAGGCAGCTGGTGAACAGGGCTGAGAACTTGCCCCAGGCTACAGGCCTCCCAGCTGAGAAAGCAAGGTTGGCTGTCCCCCGGAATCTGCAGCAGCAATCCACCTCTTTCAGAGGGTCTGTGGATTCTCTGGGCTTACCTGGTATATTTCTGTGGTAGTTCTTGGAGCAAAAGTTCATGATATGGGTCTTCATAGCTCTGTCCCTCTGAGTGGGAGCTACAAGTTAGTCCTGCCTCTTATCCACCATTTTTCCTCTAATTGACACCCTGTTTTTTGAGGCAGAATTTTATTCTCATAGCATGTGAATAAATACATTCTACTATGATATGAATGTTTCTAACCCCTAAATTCATATGTTGAAATCCTAACACGCAAAGTGATGGTATTAGGTGCTGAAGGCCTTTTGGGAAGTGATTACATCATCATAAATGTGATCAGTGCCCTTATAAAAATAGGCCAAAGAAAACTCATTTATTCCTTCCACCATGTGAAGACACAGAACCAGAAAGTATGCCCTCAGTAGACGCTGGATCCGATGCTTTGATCTTGGATTTCCCAGCCTCCAGAGCTGTGAAAGATAAATTATGCATTTTTTTAATGGCCCAAACAGATTAAGACATGTTTCTGAGAGCATTGCTCTTAATATATGTAAGGTGAAGTAGTTAAGGAATGAACTGGTTTTTTAACAGGTGATTTGCTTGATACAGTCCTAATACAATGAATGCCACATGTAATTGGAAGCCCAATAAATTAGTTTGAAATAATTTCACCTGCTATAGAGAATACTCCTTCCCTTTACTAGATCAAGTTTTTTGAGGTTAAGAGTAGGCAAATATCAGCTCTTTATAATAAGGAAGATTTGGAACTAAGTCTGGCATTACACTTGTTGAGAGATAATTCTCCATGGGTTTCTCACAATTCTGCACATCTTGTGAGCAGAGACACTGGCAATCTTTGTTTTGGGCTATTTTTTTCAAGGATATTTCTATAGCAAACAACACTGGAAGGTAGAGGTAATATCTCCTCCTAAGCTTAGGGGTCACTTGGCTGGGATGCAAACCCAGTGCATGCACAGCATTCTCTTGGGTGCCTCTCTGTCACCCCTGTGGGACTTAGAGAGCAAGAGGAACCAACATAGCCATGAGACTCATGCTTCCCGTTGTGCTATGAGTAATAAAGGCCTTTGTTTCTGTCCCAGGAGTCTTGTGCCTTTGATCAGCCTCCATGAAACTGTGGCACGCAAACTTGTTACATTGCACATAGGGTCAAATCTCAGGCCCTTCAAAATTCTTGAAAAACTTTTGATGGGTTAAACAGAACCATATAAGTTGACATTTTGCCAAGGAAAAAGAAAGTTTAAGGGGCCTATGACAAAGTTGCCTTAATCCCCTTCTCTGTGATTAAATACTCTATTTACATGTTTGTTTTGTTGTTGTTTGTTTCTTGTTTTTAAAATGGCAAAGAAAATTTGTTTTAAAGGCGTGCCAGGTAAGTAAGAAAAGAGAGTGTTTGGGTAAGGTACAGAAGCATTTGCTAAGGTGGAGTCAACTCTCAAGTGTGGAGCTCCAGCCATCAGATAGGATGGCAAAAATGTGTGATTCCTAATAGAAGGAAAAATAGGCTTTTGCTCAGTAAATACCTCATTCATAATTTATTCTCCTCAGTCCTCTTTTTAAATGGAGAGGCAAATATAAGTTATATCAATAATTTATTTTTACATAACAACCAACAGTGCATTTGATACAGTTTTCTATAAAATAAAGAGGTGATTTTTAAAATTTGTTTCTTCTTTCAAATTTGGCTTAATTATCCCTCAATAATTCCTCTTTACTGAACTTTATTCCACCCTTTATTGATCTGCATGGTAGCAACAAGTTAGAGTTTTAAAGACAACTTGTCAGTTTGACATATCAGATAAAGCAGCTAGTTAAGCTATACTTTTTATGTTTCCTCGTGTGACTAAGAAGTCACAGTCACTCTGTTTTATACATATCACAGAAAGTCTCCAAATAACTGGAATCCATCAAGTGAATTAATACGCCTAAAGGCAATCTGTGTTATAGCTAGTGGATTAGATAGCTGTCTAAAGTTTAGAAACTTGTGTATCTAACAATGTGAAAATTCAAAAATACTTAGTAAAATACATCAACAGACTCAAGCTTCACTGTAAACAGGTCACACTAGCCAGAGGGATCTTCTTTGGTCTGTCATTATGAAAAAGTTGAACCATCATCAAATGGGCACATAGCTTTCCCAGTTTCTCAAATACCCATCAGGACAAGAAATATTTCAATATATTTCCTTCTTAAGCTGCATTTAAAGAAAAAGTAGTGGTACTCTACAAAATTAAAATAGTTACAATTAAGGAGGAATAATTTAGAAATTATAATCTTGTCAACTTGAATTAGTTAAAAGGAAAACAAAACCCAACATAAAAATTATACAACCCTTAATAAAATAAAATGATCCTGGATACCACTGGCGACATTCTTCCTTTTTGATGACATTTGAATATGCTTTAATACTTGGATTGTTTAAAACTATTTTTGGTTGTTTTAGAATCATTGAGACCAATATGTTATCACTGGCTATCCTGCAGTTACAATGATCAAGATTTGGTCAAGTTTTGACTCCAATTAGGAATATCAAGGGTGTGTGTGTGTGTGTGTTTTAATCTATCTTTCTCTTTTTTGTTTGCAAACCCAAGAATTTCTGTGGGTCACTCAGGGTTTGATCAGAAAAAGAGGACTTACAGTATAGGTGTACAATAAGGGATTTATTACAGAGATTTGCCTTTACGCAAATGTGGGGGCTACATACGTCGTCTATGTGAGACTATTGTTTTTCTATCTGACTTTCGTAGCGAAAGTCCACAGGGCAAGTATTTTAGAAGGAAAAATGGAAACAATGAGAGGACTCATGGACAAAAAAGATGTTCTTCTATTTGTGATTGGATGAGCTATAAAACAAGGACAGCATGTGTACAATCCATAAACTAAAGTCATTCAGCAATTAGATCAAAGAGGCATTTGAAGCCAATAATGACATGAGAAGGTGAGTAAACTCCTTGTTATAATGAGGAGAGTGGCTGAGAATTTGCAGAAATCATGAAGCCTTTTGGACGGTCCATAAATCCTGGAGTGAAATGGGTAAGAACCAAAGTACCCTTCTTCTAGTGGGTCACATCAGCTGCTACTCAGGCTATACTAGTGTGTGCTGTGTAGAGACTCTTTGATACCCTGAGAAGACTTAGAATTAAATTTGGATTCTTAATTTCTGACTCTGGAAGTATAAAACATTAATTCCTCAAGGCATTTTTCCTCATCTGCAAAACTGGAATTATAAGGCCTATCTTATGTGATATTATTATAAATAAATGGCTAGCATGGTGCCTTCAAGAGTAGACTGCGAGCTGTTTCCTTTTTATTTTATCCTGTGAATGCACTTTATCATTATCTCCTTGAGGCATTAGAAAATGTAAAAGTGGAAGCTGGTACATTTAAACTCACATAGAACTCGAAGCGATTGTGTATTATCATCTATAAATGTTAAAATGAAGACTCTAGTTACTAGATATGTTCCCTCTTATATATATTTTTCACATATCCATAATGTCCCCATACTCATTTTTTATGTGTGTATATAATAGTGGAAGCTGTGTTTGTAAAAACAATTTTAATGTCATTTTCCTTATTACAGAAGTAATAATTAGAGTAGAAAATTTTGGATTTACATATAAGCAATATCAAGAAAAGAAAAATCAACCAAGGTCTCACTGCTCTAATCATTAATATTTTGGTTTATTTTATCAAACCTAATCTCTCAGTCTCTATCTCCATATTATATATGTATACACACATACCATATATGTACCTACATATTGACTCATATGTTGCCAAGAGCTTTACAGATAATATAGGCTGGAGACTAGGTTTACTGCTAAATAATTTTTATCAGTTTGTTTAAAAAGAATTCTCTCATTGGTGTTATATACTAAGGCCAACAAAAGGTGGACCTGGTTTGGCATTGTAATATGGAAATATGCCTTGGATCATCCATACCAAGGTGTTTATTTGGCTTCTGATAAATTGCTGGGTTTCCTGATTTTATGCTATTGCTTTTCTTTAAACAATTATTTTATGCAACCAATAAAAATTCCACCTTGCTCGGAAACTCTACCTGAGGATATCTTTATAAATTGGATGATTTTGCCTTGTTTGGGTTGGTTAGAGGGTCTGCATAGACTTTGAAGCAGTTACACTATTTATATTATAGTGGTACTATGTTGAGGAGAGTGTGTATTATGGAAGTTTCTAAATATTTACCTAAAGGTGGTGTTCATGCTCAATTCTTTTGATCTTATGACTAACTTCCTTCTTCTGAGATCTTGACTTTGAGGAATATTTACCAATTTTCTTCAATTACATGATGACTCATAAGCTACATGAAACCTTAAAAAGAATTTCCTTGTATTGTTTCATAATCTACTGCTTTCAGATTGTGTAAGCAGAGGTGGCTGTACTCACTTGCTAGAAGAGATTTTCTTTAATTTTAAAGGGAATGAAACAGTAGCTACTTTGTAATTTTTAATACTTTTGTTGTTATGGCTTAAAGTGTTTACTCTCATCAAAGTCCACCAACTTTTCATCTCTCTTATCTCCTTTTTACTAGTAACCTGATGACTCCAAGCAATGTTTACAATAGATGAGGAATATTTTGCGCCAAAACAGAAGACCTAGTTGAAATGTATTTTATAAAATGTATCAGTTCTAAAAGCAGAGGCCATTATATTCCTTGGGGAATTGGAAATTCCTTCAGTGGTCAGATGTGTACTGTTCGGGAAGGATTTTTTAAAATCTCTAATCAATAAAATCATCCCTAAAGGGTTCTTTGAAAGAACAATTTAGAATTATCTACAAAACCTGTCAATGATTAGTGTTAATGTTTGTCACTCACTGAAAAGTAATAAGCATTATTTGCATGCTATACATATGTTATCTCTAGCTATCAGACCCTACAGTCAGATTTTATTGATGCCCTGTCTGACATTAAGATGTCACTATGAAATCATTTAATGACCCAATTAATTTAAAATGAAAATTTTGTTAGCTGGTTCTAAGTTTCTGCTGGTGAGATTTGTACCTTTCCTCTCAGTGCTCACCAATTTCATTACCGTGTGTAAAGATGTAGGTAAAAATATTTTATGTAGTTTTATCCATTGGGTCTGTTATTACAATGTATGATATTTATTATTTATTTATTTTTTTTATTAATGTACTTGCATATTAGCTCCAGGAGTATAATGACATGAAGAAACAAAGTAAGCTAATAATTCTGAGAGCTGTCTTATTTCAGGGTTGCCTAATTAAAACCAGTTTTAAAGACAGAAAAGAAAATTAATGATTATAACAGGATGTAATACATGTAATCTTGGAAGGATGCTCAAGATTCCTTGGGAACTGAGGAGGAACATTCAACTCAGATAGGGAAGAATTCCAGGAAGTAACACTTGAGCCTTTAACACTGCTAGAACTATATATGCACACTGAAAAAAATACGAATAATACAGAAGAGTATAAAGCCAACAATGAGAAAACTATATATAATGTGGTACCCTAGATTAGATCTTGAAGCAGAAAAAGGATATTAGTGGAAAAACAGATGGAAACTGTACAAAGTTTGGAGTTTGGTTAATAGTAATCTACCCATGTTGTTTTCTTTTAGTTTTGTGAAATCTATTGTGGAAATGTAAGATATTAACAATGGGAGAAAATAGGTGAGGAAGTATTTACAAATCCTCTGAACTGTCTTTACAACTTTTCTATAAATTTAAAATTATTCCAATATAAAAAGCTTATTTAAAATGAGCAAATAATAATCTTTTTTTCTTTCACTGACATATCATAATAACATACTGTTTTATCTTCACCCCCAGCAATATAAGGTTCACTTTCAGATCAATACATATGAATCTACCTTATTTTAAAAATGCCTGTAAGTTATTCCATGAAGCTAATTTACGTATTTTAAAGTCATTCTGTTATCTCCATTTTTATGTCTTAGAAAACAGTGTTGCAAAAAGCATCTTTGCAAATATATTCTTATTTACAATTGCCAAAAAATAAAAATATGAACATTTTAACATAAAATAAATGTTTAAAATTGCCAGAAAAGAAATGAAAAATTCTTTTTCAAATAGTTGTTGGAGTTTATAAACCTACCAATATTATATAAGAATGCCTTTTTTCTCATGTTCTTATTAAAATGGATATTATCATTTAAAAAATTGCATTCTATTAGAAAGCAGGTGGTATTTCAATTGAGTTGAGATGGATGAATGAATACTAGCTAGGCAAATGGGAATTTGCGGAATAATGGGTAAGATGAAATCATGAGCAAATGTATGGCAGCACAGAGGAAGTGCTGTTCTCAGAATATGATATTTTTCAGAAAAGCTGGAATTTATCATGGCATTGAGGATCAGCATCATAGAGTTGGCTGCTATCATCATGAAATGTTTGCATCCCTCCTAAAGGGATAAACCTGGAAAAGTTAGAAATGATTACAGTTTTTATAAAGGGAAGACCATATTCAGATTTTCACTTTAGAAAGATCTCTATGAATGCATTGTAGGAGCCTGGCTTAAATGAAGCTAAATCTGGAAACAGGATAATCAGTTAAGAGGCTTTTAATATGATATGATAAATATCAGTATTGAGGCAAAGGAAGCACCTTTGAGAGAGGCATTGGGGTCAGAAGCTTCGGGACTTAGAAACTGATGAGACCTGAAGGGTAAAACAAGTGGAGTAGACTAGGTTAAATCTCAGTTCCATTTTTAGTGTCAATGGCAAAATTAGAGGCTGTAGGGAGAGGAGTAGATTTGCAAGAGAAATGATGAAGTTTTTCTTAGACATGTTTCATGAGAGCTGCCTGTGAAACTCAAAACTGAAAAGTACGGTGGACTGAGAGAGGCAGATTTCAAGCCTATTTCTGGTCCAGAGATACAGATTTGAGAGTTATTAAGTGTTACGAGTGGAAGAGGAGACTATGAAATTATTGACATTGGGGTGGATAAGTCTTTGTTGTGGGGGCTTCTCCTGTGCATTGTGGGATGGTTAGCAGCACCCCTGGTTTCTGCCTGCTAGAAGTCAGTAGTTCTTTCCAAGCTGTGACAACAAAAAATGCCTTTAGACATTGCCAAGTGTCTCCTCAGGCTAAAGTTCCTCTGGTTGATGACCATTGGACTATGTGATGTAAGAAGGGGAAAAAGATGATTATGGATCCCCGGGGAACTCTGGCACTGAAATGTGTTAATAACGGTGCATGGGAGAAATGCCAGGTAGCTAGAAGTAAAACAAATAAGAAAAAATAAGTGGTACCATCGAGGACAGGGCATGAGATGAGACAAGAAGAAGGAAATAGACATCGATGTCAAATATTGATAAGTCAGTTGAAGACTAAATTTGTTAACTCTAGGTGGCAATTTCAAGGTCACTGGCGACATTAACAAGAGTAGCTTTCTGGATGTCAGCTTCAGGTGCCACCTGGAACCGGTTGTTCTCAAAATTCAATAAACTCTTAGTTTTTGAGTGATGGCTTCCTCACTGCTTTCTTGGGGGGTTTTAATGAAAGTTTTATTACTCTTCTGATCCTCACTCAGTCTAGGTATTTGCCTTAGGGAAACACTGAAACCTCTCTACATTTCTCACTCCTGGTTCGTTTTTGGACTTAAACTTTTAATAAGCAAATGCCTTTCTTATTTTAACATGATGACTCTTTCAGTTTTTACTCTATTATTGTAGTCCCCTCATCCTAAAATATCCGGTGGTGTGTCCCGATGTTAACTGGAGTGGCAGACGTTATCTTTGCCAGAAACTTCTCTTTTCTCTTACTCTTGAACCAAATTTAGATGACTAAAAACTCTCCACTTTCAGGGTGAGTTCGTTTCAGTGGAGTACTGGAGCTGGTTCTCACAAGCTTGAGGGCTGATTGTTAAATCTGCAGTAATTTTGGAGCCAATTGTTAAACACCATCATTCTAAAAAATTAAGTTATAAAATCTGACAATTCATTTTAAAACAGTGGTAAATATTCAGTGCTCATCAATTTTGAATAATTTTACTATTGTCTAAGTTCTTGAGGTTATGTCTATTATATCTAAATGGTAAAAGTGTCATATGATGTGGTACTTCTGTGCATCTCTTCTCAAATTTGCGTTCAATGATGTCAGGTTGGTAGCTTGAAATCAGCCATGGTGGAAGTTTATACACTGCAGATATTGTCAGAGCCTCATATATTTTTTAACTGTATAGACTGTATAAAGTAATGGATAAAATATAATAATTCTGATTAAACTTAAAAGTATCTTGTGTCTGTAGCTGTTACATTGCGAATAGCACACATGGTGAAAATATTCTGGTACCTAAATATTAGTATCCAATCGGCAAACAAATCATTCCGGTCCTTGATGAATGAGTGAAGTTCCAACACATATCTCTATTGTTTCAATGTCATCTTACTCATTAATAAGTTAACATTCATATTAACCAACATTCAGTTGGAATTATTCTCATTTGTTAATTGCAAAACTAGGTTGACTATATAAGAATTTGGCAAAAAATAAATGAGACCATTTTGTGTGAATAAATTCACCATAAGAAATTTACAATAAAGAGTAATGTATATCTTATTTGCAAGTTATATGCTGCATATCCTTTATATCAGTTAAATTTATAATGGACTTAGGTTTGTATATCTATATCTATACTTATATTGTTCATATATACTTTTTTTTCAGAAAGTCAACCATTAAACATTTGCCAGCATTTCTTTCTTACAAGACTTTCCATATTAATTTCCAGGGGCTGCCTTTTAAGGTCAATAGGTACCAAAATCTGAGGCAAATGCACTTTAGACCTTCTCAGAAAGTGTTACTATACACTGGTATTTCTAAAATTGGTCTCGTCTCTGTTCTTGCTTCTGTCATTGTCCCACATTTTATTTTATCATATCTTTACAAAATTACTCTATATTCGCCTTCCTGTATCTACTTTTCATACAATATTTATCTTGCAACTATGTAGTCAATTTTTATCTTGTAAAATTCACATCGTTCTCTGGATTTATCTTTCCTAATCCTTTTCTGTGACACTATTGCATGTGGTATGAATTTAACTGTACATACTGAAGTTCTACATATTTTGGTCTCATTATTGAATTTTTTTTATATACTTCTGTTTTTTATCTCTTTAGTGAGTCTAGTCTCTCTAGTCTCTGGATGATGATTGAAAGAAGGTTTTCTGTTCGTAGGCATTGTCTATGCTACAATCATTCATAGGCATTCATCTCAAGTGCAGTAGAAGAGAAAGTGATAGGCTTATTCAATGTTTCAATGGGTTAGCTTCCCCTAGTTTTGAACACAATGGAACAAAATCACCTGGAAACTTGAGAGAGTCTAGGGTGGCCTTTTTCCCTCTTTCTGCATCTATGTTCAATTTCTCTTTTTCTATTTTCTTCATCAAGTCATACTGTTAGGTAAACTATCCCTCACCAATATTCAGCCCTCACATCCTGCTCCAGGTTGCAGAATGTCGTTAGACTCTAGTAAAATGGTGGCCTTCCCTTTAAAAGCACTGATTATCTGCTATAGGTTAAATTGTGTCCTCTTCCCCCTATGCCAAAGTCATATGTTGAAGTTCTAATCCCTACTACCTCAGAATGTGACCTTATGTGAAAATGGGGTCATTTCAGATTTAATTAGTTAAGATGAGGTCATACTACATTAGGGTGGACCCATGAACGAAAATGGCCAGTGTCCTTAAAAAAGGGGAAATTTGGAAACACACACACACACACACACACACACATACACTCTGCCATGTGGGCATCAAGGCAGAGGTGAGGTTGACGAGTCTACAAGCCAAAGAATGCCAAAGATTTCCAGAAAACGGCAAGAAGCTAGGATAGAGGCATGGAACAGATTTTTCCTCATAGGCAACAAAAGGAACCAACTGTGTCGATACTTTGATCTCAGAATCTTTGCCTCCAGAACGTTGAGGCAATTAATTTCTTTGTTTAAGCCACTAAATTTGTGGAACTTTGTTATGGCAGCCAGCCAACTAGTGTGTCATCTAATTATAATACTATCACTGTGACTTAATTAATATCTTGTATCACATATATAGTAAAAGTTTTTTGAGAGCAGGGACTGTGTCTATTTTGTTCATAACTGTATTCTTTGTGCCTACCATAGTGCATGACATATACTAGGTGCTCAACTGAAAACGGTTAATTGAATGGTTAATTGAATGAAAATCCTCCTCCTCAACAGAGTTTACTCTTACGATGGTTGGGAGAATTTTAGTTGTAAACTTTCTATCAGATTTTTCTGCTTGCAAATTCAAGGGGTTGGAGAATTTCTTCTGTAAATTTGTCTTTGAGATGGAAAAAGGAAGGAAACCTCTTAGTTGGGTGGGATGCATGTGTCTGGTGATAAGCGTTCTTTATTTTCACATAGGCTAAATTTACTCACTTTTGGCCATAGCAACAGAATGCGTGCAAAAGTCGAGAGAGTAGTGTGTGGAATGTGAGGACAGCGCCATATGGGGAATTGTGTGGTACGTGGTTGATATGATGTATTTTAATGTTTAATTTAAGAAGGTCTGATTTTGACAGTAAGAGTTGGGGACTAAAAATAGAACCAAATGATAAATATGGAATAGTACTGTGTGATACTAAAAAACAAAAACAAAAACAAAAAACCCTTGTGGCGTGATAGTCCATTATGTTCTATTTTTATATATAATACTTTCACGCAAAACAATACCATTTCATCTCTCTCATTTACCTAATTTGCATTATAAATGCATATTGTAATTTTATATGTGCAATGTGAGAAATCTGTCCTGTTTTTCTCTATTTCAGGCTGTTTATCTTGGGTAATTGTTTTATTGTTGGATCCATTTTAAAGATACTCTTTGTTAGCTATTTTTAATCTCATATAAATAGGATATTTAAATCCTGACAACAGAGTTTTGGCCACAGGTTGATTTATATATATTATAGCATATGGATTAGCATAAGGAGTAAGACCAAAAAAATCAGAGTTCATTCCAGAGGAGCATATGTCATTTCAATGTTTGGTGTCACGTACATTAGCTAGATAAAATAAAATTGATTCCAAAATATATTTTCTAAATACATATATGTTAGTTTATTTTTAAATAGACTTTATGGTTGTTGTTAACATATAAATTCTTCCTATTGCTGTACTAATTAAATGCAATTCTTTCCCCATCACCCCAGCATATCTATATAATTATGACATAATTTGATAAAAATATATTTAAGCAATATCTATAATAACATATTTTAGTCTTTCATTACTATAAAATTTTGAATATGGAGCCAAGCAAATAAATTCAATTTTATATATTTGGAAAAAGAGTTAGAAAGCATTTTCTAGTAAGTACATATACAAGTACATACACACACACACCAACACAGGCATGCACTCATACACACACACACACACATACACACACACACACAAACACACACTCCAACCAACTGTCATGAAATCATTGAATCAAAACACAATGCTTTGGAAGCTAAATTTGCCAAGTTTCAACTAACTAAAATGTTGGAGATTTTAAAACAATCCTTGAAGGATTTCAGTTTATGGAAGTTAAGACAATTTCTAATTCTCCAAGAATAATTTAAAACAAATTTAAACATTCAAAGGTTTTCTTGAACCTCATAAAACTTTGCACAATAATACATGTGACTTTGCATAATAATAATAATTAAGGACTAAAAGTAGGTGCAGAAGGGAGAAAATAGAAAGACAAATTGTCAATATTCAAATAGAAAATGGTCCAGAATTTTCAGAAATGAAGAATGACATGAAACACACACATACACATGAGACTAACCATGAAGTTTAATTTTTCTAAGTGATAGATTAAGTGTTTAGTAAGAGATGTTTCAAAATAGAAAATCTTTTTAAGTTAGACACCAACACTCTTAAATATTACTAGGTTTTCTCTCTTCTTATATTATTATTATGCCCAGTATAACAAAATAAATTTTTTTCTGAAATGTTATCCTGAAATTTTGAAAGGACAGAGACTAGAAAGATGCGTATTTATTTGGGGAATCATTTGACAAATGTAAGCATAGCAAATAAAATGAAATATCTCCCCCATAGTAACAAAGTGTTCATTGTATCATCGTAGAGCTAGAGAATAATAGTACCAAAATGATAAGAATTATTGGCATTAGTGAGGAAAAGAAAGACAACATGCAAACAAAATGAAATCAAGTTATTCTATGAATTGTCTTCCAATTAACCTTTAAGTTGGGAACTCAGAACTAGCCACAGGTTTTTTGAAAAGGCCTGAGTAAGCCAAATAAAATTAAGTATATCTGTAGTTTTTATGTCGAATCTGTCAATCATATGATGTCATTTAGAAGATGTCATAATAATCACTGTGACAAGTTATAACAAAGTAATGGCTTTTAAAGGACAACAAAGTACAATGTACAGTAAAATCCTTTAGATAAATAGTAGCTACTTGAGATTAATAGAAAATAAATGATTAAAGCAATATTATTTTGCTTTTATTGGCAGTGAAACAGAAAAAAAAATCATATACTTTCCATGGGGAGCACATGACACGCAGGGGAATGCACCCTGGCTGTGAGGCTTCCTGTTTCAATGCCAGCATGGGGTTGGAGCTGCAGCCTAAGATCTTGCTTTACTTTAGTTCTCTGCTTGAAAAGATCTGGATACTTAAAATGGTTGGCTCAGGGTCTCCCCTGGAAATGAGCTGCTGTCTCTGACTCATCCATGTCATACTGGAATCATAAGACTGGTTAATGCACAAACTTAGGGTTTACTTTCCCTACATTCACTCCAATTTTGTGATGTGAGACTCCAGAAGGAGGATTTTCACCTTGGACTTTGTTTAGAATTGTTTCTTTCAGTAGAAAGCAGGAAAGATCACAACAGTTGCAGAGTTACTACATCAAGAGGCTTCTACTCCCCAAGGGAGGAACTGGATAAATCTAAGAACTGCACAATGTTAACTCACAAAGAAGAATTAAAAACAGAAGACGTTTTCCTACGTAACAAACCTGCACATCCTGCACATGTATCCTGGAACTTAAAATAAAATAAAATAAAATTTTTAAAAAGAATAAATAAATAGCAGGTAAGAAAATCTAAAACTAAGAGATATACTTAAACCTAACAATGAAAGAATTTACATCCAAGTTGAAATAGAATTGATGGGATACTTTTGGAAGCGGATCTCAAAATAAATATAACAAAAATTCTTAAAAAGATAAGTAAATAATACTCATGAAAAAAGAATACAATTATGCAACAAAGTAAAAACTAAAAAAGTTTTCTTTGCTTTCTATGAGGGATTATAGATAGATATGAGGAATTGTTCCAGAACAGAGCCAGATACATAAATAGAAGTCACAGGACCTAGAGAACAGAATGAGAAGCTCTAACAGAAGACCAAAGGAAGGTGCAGAAGAGAGAGAAAATAGAAAGACAAATTGTCTATATTCAAATATAAAATGGTCCAGAATTTTCAGAAATGAAGAATTACATGAAACACACACACGCACGCACACACATGCACACACACATACACACACTCCATCAAACAACAGAAAAGTCCCTTTCATTTCATACATACATGAAACACTTAAAAAGGAAGAAGTAAACAACATCAAAAAAAGCATAGGACTAGTTAGAGATGAAGTAGAGATTTAAAATAGCACAATAGAATTTTCCAATGAATTTGATAATTTATGTCAAATTGATTTATGTTTAATAGAAATATACAAATTAACAAAACTGACATAAGATGAAACAAACATCACTAGTAGATGAATAACATGAACAAAATTTAACAGGTATACAAAAAGTGACCTATTTTAGATGTCCCTTCAATTGTGGAAACCGGGGAGTTGCTACATGTATATTTTTTAGGAGATAATATTTTTCTGGGTTTTAAGCTAATACTTCTTAATATTGTTCCTATTGCAGCAATTTCAAACAATGAAAGAATCAGAACCCTTGTGTTTTTCCATTTTTGCAGCCTAGTCCAAAGACGTTTACATCCTGGAAGAGAACTTGCTGGCTTTTCACCTCAGCATGTATGGGCCAAACTAATATAACAAGGTAAAATGTTTTTATTGGCACCTATCTCCTATTTTGATGCTTACACTAAGGTAATCTATCATTCAAGCTGATGGCTGGTTGGTAACTTTTGTAGCACTCTACCTCCAGACATCTATCCTGCTCGTTACTGAGCCTTCCACATTCTTTTGTATCTTACCTCAATGTTGATTAAAATCAATCACTACTCTCTAAATGGCTTCATATTCAATAATAGTAATAAGCTCTTAGCACACCATATAAATTTCAAATATTAAAAGAGTAGAAACATGTTTTCAGAAAATGGTTGAATTTTCATAGAACTTTAATTTTGTATTCAGTTTATAATGCTTCTTTAATTTTTCTTAAGGAAAATTCTTTAATTTTTCTTAAGGAAAATTCTTTCTTGTCAACAAGATCATTAACAGTTCCAGAGAAAGCCAGGCAAAGCTATGAACACAGAGTTCACAAAGAAATACAAGGAACCAATACGTACATTAAAATAAACTAAATCTCAAGAACAACTTTAAACAACATAAACAATATGGAGGTAAGCTTTTTCATCTAGATGGTCTAAAGTAATAGGCACTTTCATGCATTAAAATTGGCATATTCTGTCTATAAACTTATTTTAAAATTTTTAGGAAATTAAAATACCTTTGATCAGGCAGCTATAATTTCAGAAATTTAAGCAATGAAAGTACTCAAACACATACCTAATGTTTAGTGCAGCTTTTTAATAACTTGGAAGTGGTTTTAATCTCACTAAAGGGACTCTAATTAGATATATTGTGTTCAATTTAAACAATGAGATAATACCCCAGCCATTAAAAAGAAGAATGCATCACTGTATCTGAAAGTGATACGGGACAGGGGAGTTTGGGAGGGATAAAAGTGTTATTTCTCATTTCATCATATGAGAATTTTTACAACTAAATTAATATTTAAAATGTAAAAATCCAATTAAATATCAAAATGATCTATTGCTATTACCTCAACATTACAATTATGATATAAATATTATTGGAATGTGATGGAATGGGAAGCATACATGCACATTTGATTTGATTTGCTAATTTCCATTTAGGAGTTTGAATCTGTATTCACAAGTCAGGCTGTCCCTTGGAGTTCCTTGTGCAGTCTTGTTGGGAGCTGGTAATACATTTGTAAGATGGAGCACTACAAAAGCACCATTTTTCTCTTCTGCCTACTGAAGAATAATTTGTTTTTTTTTTTCCTCAATTAAGGAAAACGGTAGAAAACAGTTTTGGGGAGACTTTGTGGGATTTTGTTTTAGATATAAGCCTGGCAGATCACAGACAAGAAAAAAGATATTGAGACCATTACAATCTTCTATTTGGCTTAACGTTAAGCCCTTCCTCCTGGTATAAATGTGAGGGCCTCCCAAAGCACTCAATTTGTCTAAGTGCTTCTTGTTTATTGGGAAGAAGGGATCAATAGTCTTCAAACATCTGTCTTCAGGATTCAGAATTCAAACATTTTTGGAATAAATTTGGGTGGATGAAACCAAGATACAGAGGTAGGGAGGTGATTGGAGAAACAAGTAAAATTATCATGATGTTAGGGATGAGGCATCCAGGGGGTTGGTTTCAGCCAGGAAATTGAGAGCAGAAAGGAAGAGTGTTTTCCATCACATTCTATTGGAAATGGTTTAGACGTAGGAGAACTACTTAATCTGAGAATTAAAACATCAAGGTCGTCACAGCTGTGATCATACTTGGGGACAAGTCAAATTGACCTGATGCTCTTTTGTGAGCAGATTTAACCTAAAGAAATTCTTTGGTATCTGGGCCTTGTCTCAGTGACAGACCAATTCTTATTCTGGAGGGATCCCAGAAATTGTCCCCAATTTTCACAGCTTTAACCACCACATAGGTGGGGTAATGGAAAGCGCTTACTCTCTAGAACCTGGCTAGATTGAGCACTTTTTTTTTTTTTTTTGAGATGGAGTCTCGCTCTGTTGCCCAGGCTGGAGTGCAATGGCATGATCTCGGCTCATTGCAACCTCTGCCTCCTGGGTTCAAGCGATTCTCCTGCCTCAGCCTCCTGAGTAGCTGGGATTACAGGCACGTGCCACCAAAAATACTAATTTTTGTATTTTTAGTAGAGATGGGGTTTCACCATGTTAGTCAAGCTGGTCTCGAACTCCTGACCTCATGATCTGCCCACTTCAGCCTCCCAAAGTGCTGGGATTACAGGCATGAGCCACCGTGCCTGGCCTTTTGCACTCTTTTAACTGGGAAACTGGTCAGCCCACCCTGGCTACTTGAAGGGCTGATACTGAAAGACAAGATGCCACCTGCTACATGTGTTAGCTACTGAAACAGGAACTTTTCTTGAGTTACAACATTTATCACAGGCACTGTTGATCAGTGATAACAAAGACATGAGATTTTTGATATATCAGCAGTAAGTTATTCATATAAAACAGCAGACAAATATGCTAAAACTGTGAAGTGCAGGTATGAAACAACCATATCATTAGATAAGCATTGGAAAAAGTGTAACAAGATTTTATCATTTGAAGTTATTTAACTTTGCAAAAGTATAAATAAAACATAAATCTCTCTAATAATGAATAAACACATGGAAATTTTAAAATCCCCAAACTAGAATTTGATTTGCAATAAGTTAACTTTCATTTATATCCTTCAAATATTTTTCCCTCAATTTTATGCCAGCAATTTGTCAATGGTCCAAAATTTAGTGATTTCCTGAAATAGTTCTTCAGGTTTTTGTTTTTTCTTTGAAGAGAAGGTAAACAGGATTCTTTTATTTAAAAAATGCTCCTCATAAATACCAAACAAGAAATACTATTAACAATACCATTTTTTTCTTTTATGTATATATTTAGCAGAATGCATTAGTAAGTTTACATTAAAAGAAAAAATAGAGAAATTTTTAGTAAAGTTTTTTTATATGAAGTTTGGGAATGTTAGGCAGGCCACACTGAAAAATGTGTATGTCATCAATACATCATGTTGTCACATAATAAGCATTAAGGCTTGTAAATACTGCACAATCATTTGACCTCAAAATGAAATTTTTATTCTTTCAATAAAAAATATTGGTCAAAATGGATTTTAAAGACAATAAATACTAATCGTGTCAAATAAATATTTTAATAGCAGTTTAGCAAGTAAATGCATATATCTAATTAGTACAGTTGTCCCTTGGTGTCCATGGGTAATTGGTTCCAAGACCCAGGTGGGATGCTCAAGTCTGTGAAATGAAATGGCATAGTTTTTTCATAGAACTTTTAAATAATGTCTATGTTACTTATAATACTTAGTACAATGTAAATGCTATGTAAGTAGTTGTTATACTATATTGTTTTAGTGTGATTTTTATTATTATTGCATTTTTTTTTTTTTAATATTTAGATCCTTGGTTGGCTGGAATCAGTTGCGCAGGAACCTGTGGCTATAGCGGGTGGACTGTGTGTTTCATTCTAATTCCTAACATTCATTTTCTTTGTAGAAAGAATTCTTGCCCACTCTGTTCTGTGTTCTTTTTGAGTGCTTTGCTCAGATGTTTCTCGGGTGAGGGATTGATCTAGAGAATATAATTTTCCATTACACTAAGGGCTGGATATGGTTGGAGGAACATAAGAAAACATGGAAGGGGGCCGGGCGCGGTGGCTCACGCCTGTAATCCCAGCACTTTGGGAGGCCGAGGCGGGCGGATCACGAGGTCAGGAGATCGAGACCATCCTGGCTAACACGGTGAAACCCCGTCTCTACTAAAAATACAAAAAATTAGCCGGGCGTGGTAGCGGGCGCCTGTAGTCCCAGCTATTCGGGAGGCTGAGGCAGGAGAATGGCGTGAACCCGGGAGGCGGAGCTTGCAGTGAGCCGAGATCGCGCCACTGCACTCCAGCCTGGGCGACAGAGCTAGACTCCGTCTCAAAAAAAAAAAAAAAAAAAAAAAAAAAAAAAAAGAAAACATGGAAGGGAAACTGAAGGCAAATATTGAAATGACAGATGAGATTTATAAAGGAGAAGGGGAGTGCTAACATTCAGAAAGCAGATACTAGAATTTCATTAGTTTGAAAGCATTGGCTTTTATAAAGTCTTTGATCAAATTAGTTTAGATAGAAAATAACCTCTTTTTTTTTTTTTTTTTTTGAGACGGAGTCTTGCTCTGTCGCCCGGGCTGGAGCGCAGTGGCATGATCTCGGCTCACTGCAAGCTCCGCCTCCCGGGTTCACGCCATTCTCCTGCCTCATCCTCCCCAGTAGCTGGGACTACAGGCGCCCGCCACCACGCCCGGCTAATTTTTTTTTTTGTATTTTTAGTAGAGACGGGGTTTCACCGTGTTAGCCAGGATGGTCTCGATTTCCTGACCTCGTGATCTGCCCACCTCGGCGTCCCAAAGTGCTGGGATTACAGGCATGAGCCACCGCGCCCGGCCGAAAATAACCTCTTTGACACAGATTTTGTCAGATACGCCACTATGTAAAGCAATATTCCTGATTAACGACCTTTCAATCAATTCAACAATTTTGAGTTTTAGTTGGTCATGAATAATTACATGGTTTGCTCCTTTTTTTAACCAAAGTTCTCTTTCCAGATAATTTGAAATTGACTCACAATTATCAGTTTTGATAATTATTGCTAATTTTGTTCCTTCTAGAGATATTTGCATTTTACAGAAATCAAAACGTTCACACTAATGGTAAATTTTTGGTGCTTTGTCTAGTTCTTTTTTTGACTAGTGTTTAGAAAAATAAGTTGTTTCCATGAAATAGCTAATTCTGTGAAATCATTAACAATATTTTTATTTTCACTGAAATGAAGTAAAAAATTTAAGGAAATTTTAACACTATTTTATATATAACAAATTAATATTAATAGGAAATATGCTACTAATTTAAATTTATCTCCCCTTGGTCAACAGGATCTTTCAGAACATTTCTCCCCTAGAGCTTACAAATATGTGTGTTTCTGAGAGTGCGTGTAGTAGAAGTCCATTTTATCTTATATTTACATATGGAACATCTCAGATTTGTTGTCTCCCAATTCCCATTTCAATCCCAGACACAGAGAGCTTGAATGCTTGAGATGAAAACACACACACTACGTTGGAGACACACACACACAAACACATATGCACACACACAAACATACGCGCACACACACGTTGGATAGCCTTTATTTGACCTTCTCAGCAGAGGTGGGGTATTTCTCAACCCTGTACTGATATTTTCCTATGAAGACTTCTTTCCACACTATGTGCCATCAGGCCTGTTACACATTTTCTAGTTTCCTTCTTTTAAACAGAGCAAAGAATATAAGTCTAAGACCAAAGTTTACATTTCTAAATCCACCTGCCAATCAGTCAAGCAATTCCTAAGCAGCAGTTACTACTGAAGCTGCTGGGTGGGCCTGCCACACAATCACAGCAAGGCGACAGTGAGCCTAAGTGGAGTTAGACTGTTTCTTGCTCATGGCACAATAGACAGCATGAGACTTAGGCTTGCATCACTTCCTCTTGTCCTCCCAGTCCCAAAGAAGGTGATGCGGAGCAGGCCCAGGTGAATGCTGCTCACACAGTGGGTTGTGGTTATGCCTGAAGAACACTGAGCTTAGAAAGCTCTCCAACCTCATGAGGGGACCACAAGCACATTTGCCTATCTTTCTCTCTGAAGAGAGACATTATAATTCTAATCAGAAACAAATTTTCAGGTCAGAAAACAAATCTGCCTTTGGACAGAGATGTTACTTTTATCACCCTGGAACATGTCAGGAGATGGGAGGAGGACTCCAACTTTAGAAATTTGGAATCTAAGCAAATCTGCTTCCTGTCCAGAAACATCTTTGCAAATACCTTGGACAAGTTTCCTTGAAGAAGTTGCCAGTGCCTTTTGCTCAGCTGTGCAGAAATGGCAGCTCCATGAATCATCTCCCAGCCCTATCTTTTTCTCACCTTTGGTTCCTTTGTCGAAACTTTACTTCTGTTTTGCATTTTGCATTTTTTTCTTTCTCTTTATGTATTACAAAAACAAAATTTTATTATATTCCTAATTATCCTTCAAGACAGCAATTCCCATGTGCTTTACTAGATATAAACAAGTGATATGCTTGTCTTTGAGGTAATGGAAATGGAAATTTGCAATTGAAGAGGAATTAATTTTTTTTATTTCCTGATACAGACACTTAACTCTGATTACTTTTTCAGATTGAATCGGTGTTAGTAGGACATTTGACCGTACAAATCTCTTTCTATTAGAGAAAGAGATAAATTTGGATGTATGATCACTGCTTTGGAAAATGCTAATATGATGAATTTAAAGAGACGGAGATATCAATGTACCCCTGATAGTGGAATAGGTGAAAAATACACTGTTCATTTCAAATTAACAAATACTAAATTTCAAAAGTGTAATCTATTAAAGATATGATTACTAGGTACAGGGTCATATTTTCTTACCTCTGCAGCACCTGAAATCCATCCCAGATTAAATCAGGCTACCCTCGATTTTTGCTTTTTTTGATTATTTTTTCTTATTTTCCAGAAGTCTTGAGAGGAGTCAGCGGCCAAGCTCCATGTCTTGCAGCCAAACAATGCTGTGGGATGGAAGGTGGGATGTCATGTGTCTGGTTTACAGCACTCACGTATCAGTTGGCAGTTAACGGAAGTGCTACTGATTGGTAAGCACCCAGAAACATCAGGCAGAAAACCTGCTTACACTGGTGCTTTAGCCTTGGAGATTCCTGAGAATTTTCACAAATTAACCTCATTTGCTGAGAGAGGCCAATATGGAAACTTAAAATTAATTAATGCATTAATTAGTTAATGTAGAGGAACACAAAGTCAAGAATGTGTTCCTTGTTTTTTTTTTGTTTTAAATTGTCTGGACAGTTGAGCAAATGGTCTTAATTCTTCTAAATATTGGAAACCTGGTGTCTAGGCACAAAACTAGATTTTTGGCGTCATTGAGGAATAAATATATTTGTTGTTCCACTCAACAAGCAGAGATCAATACAGTATTCTAGGTCTATTGGGAGGAGGGGCTGTACATGATAACTTACCTAGTGCTTTTTGTCTAGCACTAATGGAGTTGGGATGTACTTCTGCCAAAGGACTAATTTTAGGAGGACTTTGGGACTGTTGGGTAATAAACTGATCAATGCGATGAAGACCCCAGTCCCTCTGAACTCTTGGAGCTTATGAAAGTCTAGATGTCAAGCCAGAGAAATTGTGAAGATTATACCTCCTAAAAAATAATCTCCAAAAAGATCAAGATGTATGTTCATATCTATTGATTTTCGGGAAGCTACTATTTTCTATAATCCCTCAGTTGGGGGTTTTATGCTTACCCTTTTCAATGTTCACTGATAGTGAGATTGAATAAGTCATCAATGAGAAGAGTGGTTTGAAAATATGTAGCGTAGTACATAAATATTATGTAGAATTAAGAAGGCAGCACAATCCTCAATAAGGTCCAGATACTCAACTTACATTTAAAGCTCTAATTAGTACTCCTACCTTTTGAAATATACAGTTACACTGCTGTGCATTCCTAAAAGAATGCTACAGTTAGACATTACAAAAAATATTACGGTTCCCAAAATATAAAGTCATAAACCTATGTTTATAAAAACAATTGCATTATGAACCTGGGATATAATATATATCACAATCATTCAGCTTACAATAATTTGAGAGTGCTGATGTGAGGATTTCATCTTGGTTAACTGAAGGAAATAATAATTTGTTTAAGATCATCAACATGTGATCAACTTGAAATAAGAGCTTCTCAGTGTTATGAAAATTGTGAGTTGATAATGTGTAACACAATCAGACTAAAATAAGCCTTATTAAAGCAGATTTCTCTAAGGGTACTTCTGCTTCATTTTGCCAATTCTGGACTCTGCAATCTTAATTTCATTGGTTAGGGAGGATCTACTCCCTCTAACACAATACATGCAAATCATAAATTAGAATTGGTTGCATATAATGTAATAGAGAAGCTGTATTCAGCTTACTCAATTAGCAGAAATGTATATGCAACTGGTATAACACACATTAACAGATTGGAGTGCTAATATGAACATATCTCTCATTTCAAAATTAAAACTGGTAGGGACCCCATTTTTCAGATTAGGAGGAAGTCCAGCATCTTTCTAAAGAAATCCCTCACTGCCTGCATGACTTGTTAAGATAATTCAGAGACTTACTCAATACCAACTACCCATTCCAGAGTCCCAATTTTATTTAAGGACAAACTGTAGAATTCACTCAGTGCACAAGTGAAATCAGGTTTTTGCCTGTTTTTGTTCTTGTTGCTGCCATAACATGTCTCTCTTGCAAGCTGCTCCATGTAATCCAGTGTGTGGTTAACACACACAGGTTGGCACAGTCCCTGCCTGGAATGTGGAGAGGCTCATACTTGGATTTCTCAGGTCAGGCTCATTGGTTAATGCTTACATGTTCAGACATTTTCCCCAAAGCATGGTTTCTAATCCAGGATGGCTGGTCCAGCCTGGGCTTCCAGCCACAGCTGGTCATTTTCCCAGAACCAGCTCTGGCGTGCTGCTTGAGTCACAGCTCTGACCTTCCCTCCCTTCTGTTAAAGTTCCCTTTTAGGTGGCCTTAATGTCCATTTCTGCTACTGTGGTTGGGGAAACCTCAGCCTTACAGAGGATGTTCTCCTTTTCTTTTCGACTGTATGCTATTAAATCCCGGTCTTTGTTCAGAAACAAAAACAAAAACCTCAGCTCTTTACAAAAACTGAGTTTTCCATTTATAAGTCTAATTTTTAAAGCAAAGGTGACAAATGATTACTCTTAAATCTTTTTATCTGCTGGATTCCGTGGAGAAGATTTTGAGAGACTGGTGGGTTAGAGTGGTACAAGATTATGAGGGCAATTTCCCAACCAGTAAGAAAAGCCACAATCACTCTAATCATTAGTTATATAATTACCTCTAAGAGTAGCAAAAGAAAAGATTCTGCTTTCAAATGACAGAAGCCCTGAAAATCTCATCTAAGGAACTGGAAATAACTTGTCTGTATTTTTTTCCTCTGTGCTCTAAATTCATTTTTAGTAACAGTGGAAGCAATTTGAAATGAAATACAACACTTAAAGCAAATGAAACGGAAGTGAATGCCAGCAGTAAATGGCAAGAAGAAATCCAGTTCAGTGTGTTCCTCAGAAATCTTGCCTCTTGGGACTAAATGCTGCAAATGTAACTCTTATCCTTGTTTTTCAAGTTTTACCATCTCAAAGCTATCCACTTTATATTAAATTAGTTCTGTTATATTATGTCAATTTGTATTCTTAAGAGCACAAGTTTGGCCTCAAATAGACCTGAGCTGAGATCCAATTCTTTAATTTATCTGTGTTGTTTTCTTTTTCCTTAGCTTTAAAGTGGAAAAAATGCTACTTACATTTTATTTATGAAGGTTAAAGATAAAGTGTCTGATATGGGACCTATCATATGTGGTAGGCACTTAGTACATGGTAGCAATTATGATTATTATATCTGATATTAGCATTATTATTATGATTTGTTTTAATCTTCAAAGTATCAACTGTTTCTATTACATTTGTGGTAAATACTCCTAAACAGAGTTTTTAAGTTCAAGTGTCCAAAGTTGTTAGAAACAAAGATATTTGACAATAACATAATCATATCACATGACCTCATGATTTAACCACCTCCCAAAGTTGCCACCTCCTAATATTATCACCTTGGGGGTGAGGTTTCAACATATGAATTTTAGAGGAACATAAACATTCAGACCATAGCAATAATGAAGATAAAGAGTTTATTCATAGATAAATGTTAAGAAGTAGATACTGTTTGTTAGGAGAAGTGTCCACAGTTAGGGAGAAGTTAGAGGTCTGGTGTCATCTTTGATTTTTGTGTTTCTTCCGGAACCCTGTTGCCTGGCTTCCTACACTATTTCTTGTGTCTTTTTCTTGTAGCTAAACTTGAACATTTTTTCCTTGAGTACCATTTTACAATCAACTGTGCTTTTATGCAGTGGACTTTCACTGAATGTCCCCTATTGGAAATTTTAACAACAATTTAACAACTATTTATTTGATACTTTCTGTATAACCAATATTATTGAACATCCTAGGAACACATACATAAATAAAACTTGATCTCTGCTTTCAGAAAAGTTGATCTATTTGGAAAGATATCAAGAAAATAAACAACCTCAACATTATCACATGGTTTTATAATAACATAATTTCTTAGGGGTTCTGTGGTTGGGGCAGGAAACACCAGGAACTGTCTTGGAGGAAGCTGAAGTTTTTTTGCAGTCTTTATGAATGAAAAGTTTATAAGAAGGACAAGTATAGAACTAGAGTTTCTGGAATTGGGAACATCATAAATAAAAGTACAGATGCAGAATATCACCAGGTAATATGTGGAAAACTGAAATTGGCTTGTAAATTATAGGGTTGGGGGTAGTAATTGATAAAGCCATAGAGATGCACAGATGCCCCATGTGAGAGGGTCCTGTGTAGAAGGCTGAAGTGCATGCATTTCATCTCAAAGACAATGAGAAGCTCCTGCAAGGGCTGTTTAAGTGAAGAATAATGTGCCATTTAGAGTTTATAAGTACTGAGTAGCAGTCATTCACAATTCAAACCAATTCTGATTCATACTAACAAAATTGAGAGTTCAGAAGTAATTTGGCAAACATAGAAAGACGTATTCAAAGTCAAGATTCAATTCTCCACATGTATCCCATTCCATTCGCTCAAGCCCTGGATCCCTGAGAGAAATCCAGTGAAACTGCCCTTCACTAAGGATTTGAGAAATACAGTGTTGAGGAAATCACATGGTCTTTTTATAATAGTGATTTACTCATTGTTTTCTCCAAGGTAGAAATGCTGGTGGCAAACACTATGAATAAAATGGGTTGTTACTTTGGTGTTTACCAAAGAGAAGGGCCTAAGACAAATGCTGTTATTAGGGAATGCAAACCAGGAAAGTAGGGGTAAGACAGAAAAGGAGGGAGAACAAATATCTGAGTGTTAATAACAGGCTGGCAGTAAAACTGATAGCTGGATCTTGTAGGAGTATGCTGTCAACTACATCTCAGGACAGTACATCTTGGAGGATGAAAGAAGAATTTATTCATCAACTACTGTCTCCATTGTATTCTCATTGTGTGTCCCTAACACTATCTACTTGGGTTTGCATCTTAAAATCCACCAGGGAAGCCCTGGGTGGGAAATGAAGCATATGTAGGGTAATGGCATGAGGGAATGTACTATTGGGTTATACTTACATGAAGTCAATAGAACCCATACAGATTGAGCCACTTCTATTGTGGCCAGGTGTGGGTGGTGGTGATCAACAGCCCTGAGGTTGAGACAAATCTGAAGACTCTCATATAGACACCCTATGGTCAATGGGGATGAAACAATCACAGTGTGCAGAGACTGTGTTGGAGCACATTCGTCTTCAATAGCTAAGTGGATGTGGTGTTTAAAGCAGAGGGTAGGACTGGCATTACCATCACATCTCTGTGGTTTGTAGGATCTGCTGAGTTCTTTCACACTGGCTAGTTGGTAGTAAGGTATCTAGGATTGTTTCTGATAGTCCTTATGTTCTTCTTCAGTTGTTTAAATATAGGAATTCCAGCTGTCACGCATAGAGATCTGACTTGAGTAAACATGATCGAGATTATATACACCTTTTCCCAGTATCAGATGAAGGCTCAGGGTGGTCATAGACATAGACACTTTGAAGGAAAAAAAACCAATTGGGTTTCCTGAAACAGGGCTTCATGATGGCTGAGTAGAGGCATTCAGTACTTCCCTCCCTCACAAAAAACAAAATTGTGAGGAGATCATTATACTTCAAATAGAACATCTAAGAGAGAACGATGCTGGAATTAAACAGAGAAGTGACAGGAAACACCTAAGGCAAGAAAGGAGAGGAAAGTGAGGAAATCTGCCCACCTAGGATCAGCCAGGAATCTGGAGAGGCTTCCGATCCAGGGAAAGAGTAAATGAGTGACCTTCAGTGGTTCATATTTCCACCACAGACTCTTGTAAACCTTGCCACAAAAGAAACTGTCAACCCATACGGGCCCTGAGACTAAGATAGGTGGCTTCCTGTAGTCAGGAGCATCATGGATTGCTCCAAAGAGGGATCTCACACCAGGTTCCACACCTGCCTCCTGAGTCCTGAGAAGCTATAGAAAGGCACTATTTTGAGATCCCAGCCCCTACCAAATTGCATCTTACCCTGGGGCCCAATAGCCCTTCATCTCCACATCCTTGGAGCCCAATTACCACCACTGAAAGCAACCCCACCTTCCCCAGCAGCAAGACTGAAGCATAGCCAGTGCCACCCAATCTGAACAATCAACCAGGAGCCTAGGGATCACCCCACCCTTGCCTACCACAGCCAGCACCCACATGTCCCACTGGAGAAACTGAGGACTGGTCTCCTGACCTGGTTTCCATCATCCCCCACCCAGCATCAGACTCCTAGGTGTTACCCTACTTATTCACTACAATTGGCAACTTAGCACTCCCCATGAGGGCCTGATGATGGGCCCAACCAACCTGTTGCTACCACAATAGCTGGCACCCACCCTCATGCACCACATCCAGGCCTAGGAACTGACATGCACAGCTCATTGCAGTCACTGCTAACACCAATGTGGACCCCTTGGGAACCAGAAGATTGTTCAATAATTGCTACTGCCATTTCCCATGTCATGTCTAATATTCAAGAACCTAAGGACCTTCTCACTCAGCCAACTTCTGCCACTCCTCAGCACCTAAACAAGCTGCCTGGAGGCCCAGGAATTAGACTGCCTTGATTCAATAACATGAGTGACAGCAAGTGCCATCTTGGGGCCTTAGGACAGCCAGGCTTGGGCCCCACTGGGCCACCACCGGGACCTGAGGACTGGTCAACTGATGTCCCTGTCCCCAGCAAAAGTTTACCCCTAGAAACCATGCCCTAAGTCATTGAGGAAATCAAAGACACCACTGACACTTTTTACAGCCAAATAAATCATGTGGAGACTACACTACAGCACAAACCCAGAATAAAAGCCAAAGTGCCCTACCCACCATAGTTACATCTTCAGGAAAAAGTTATCCTATAAGAAAGAAAACTTTAAAAACTGAAAAAAATTACACCAGATGCACAGGTATGAATGTAAGCACAAAAGAAACATGAAAAAACAAGAAAATATGATACCTCCAAAGAAACACAATGATTCTGCAACGAGATTCCAATGAAAAAGAAATGTATAAAATCCTAGATAGATAATTCAAAATAATGATAATAAAGAAGCTCAGTGAATTGCAAGAGAATATAAAAAAATACAAAGAAATCAGGAAAAAATCAGGCTATTAATGAAAAATTTACCAAAGAGAGGGATATTATTTTTAAAAACTCAGAAATTCTAAAACTGGAGAATTAACTAAATGAAATACAAAATACATTTGAGAGCTTTAACAATAGACTAACTCAAGTAGAAGAAAGAATTTAGAAACTTAAGAACAGGTCTTTTGAAATTACCTAGTCACACAAAAATAAAGAAATAAGAATAAAAAAGAATGAATAAAGCTTTACATGACATATAGGATGCCAAATGTGACAAAATATTCCCTTTTTTTTTGGTGTCCCAGAAGGCAAAGAGAAAAATGAAAGGAAGAAAAAAACCTACATAATAAGATAATAGATAAAAACTTGCCAAGTCTAGCAACAGATTTAGATATCCAGATACAGGAAGCTCTCAGATTCCCCCCAAAAGGATACAATTCAAAAAGTTCTCCAGCGCACATTGTAGTCAAACTGTCAAAAATCAAAGACAGAAAAAATTTGCAAAACACCAAGAGAAAATTGTCTAGTCACTTATAAAGTAACCCCCAACAGATTAACAGCAAAATTCTAACCAGAAACTTTAAAACCCATGAGAGAATGAGATGATGTATTCAAAG
The DNA here is from genome assembly GCF_000001405.40 of Homo sapiens. Lineage (NCBI taxonomy): Eukaryota > Metazoa > Chordata > Mammalia > Primates > Hominidae > Homo > Homo sapiens. The sequence continues at coordinate 17,934,244 of NC_000005.10, forward strand.
TGCTGAAAGTAAAAGAAAAAGGAAGCAGCCAAGTTTCTCTTTATAAATGAAAAAGGAATAAAATCTTTTTCGATAAACAAAAGCTGTGGGAATTCATCACCACTAGACCAGTTCTACAATAAATACTCAAGAGAGTCCTACAGGTGGAAGTGAAGGAATAATATTTACCATCATGAAAACACACAAAAACATAAAACCCACTAGGTAGAGCAAAAACACAAATGAGGAAGATAAAGGACTCAGATGTTATCACTACAGAAAACTACCAAACCACAATGATAAACAATAAGAGATAAAGGGACAAAAGATACATAAAACAGCCAGAATCAATTAATAAAAGGACAGAATAAGACCTCACATGAAAAGGGATTACACTTTCCACTTAAATGATACAGACTAGCTGAATGGATTAAAACAAACAAAACCAAATGACCCAACTATATGTTGCTTACAAGAAACTCATCTCACCTGTAATGGCACATTTAGGCTGAAAGTAAAGGGATGAAAAAGGACATTGCATGCCAATAGAAACCAAAAAGGAGCAGGAACAGCTATATTTATATCAGATGAAACAGAATTTAAGTCAAAAACAGTAAAAAGAGGCAAAAAGGTCATTATGTAAAGATAAAAGGATCAATTCAGCAAGAAGTTTTTAACAATTTTAAACATATATGGTCCCTGTACGAGAGCACTCAGATATATAAAGCAAATATTAGATCTAAAGGGAGAGACAGACCCAACACAATAATAGTTGAGGATTTCAATGTCCCACTGTCAGCATTGGACCGATCATTAAAATAGAAAGCTAACAAACAGTAAATTTAAACTGCGCTTTAGACCAAATGGATCTAACAAACATTTATGGAACATTTCACTTAATAGCTACAGAATATACATTCCTCTCATAGCACATGAAACATGCTCCTGGATAGACCATATGTTAGGACACAAAATAAGTCTCAACAAATTTTTTAAAGATCAAAATTATGCCAATATTTTCTCATACCACCATGGAATAGAATTATAAGTCAATGACAATAGGAATTTTGGAAACTGTAAAAATTCATGAAAATTAAACAACATGCTCCTGAATGACCATTAGGTCAAGGAAAAAATTAAGAGTTTTTTTTTAATTTATTGAAACATGAGAAATGAAATATAACATACTAAAACCTATGACATACAGCGAAAGCAGGGCTAAGAGGCAAGTTTATAACAACAAGCATCTACATGAAAAAGGGGGAAAGAATTCAAATAAGCAATCTAACAGTGTACCTCAAAGAACCAGAAAAGTAATAATACAAAACCAAACCCAAAATTAGTAGAAGGAAAGAAATAATGAAGATCAGAAAAGAGCCAAATGAAATAGAGACTAAAGTAAAAAACAAAACAAAACAAAAACAAAGTATCACCAAAATGAAAAATTGTTTCTTTGAAAAGTTAAACTTCTAGCTAGACTAACCAATGAAAGGAGAAGAACCAAATAAAATCATTAATGAAAAAGGTGATTATGACAATTGATGCCACCAAAATATAAATGATAAGCAGGGACTGTTATGAACAACTATATGCTAATTAACTAGAAAACCTAAGCTGGGCGCAGTGGCTCAGGCCTGTAATCCCAGCACTTTGGGAGGCCGAGGTGGGCAGATCACAAGGTCAAGAGATCGAAACCATCCTGGCCAAAATGGTGAAACCCCATCTTTACTAAAAATACAAAAATTAGCTGGGCGTGGTGGCATGCGCCTATAGTCCCAGCTACTCAGAAGGCTGAGGCAGGAGAATCGCTTGAACTCGGGAGGTGGAGGTTGCAGTCAGCCAAGATTGCACCATTGCACTCCAGCCTGGGCAACAGAGTGAGACTCCTTTTCAAAAAAAAAAAAAAAAAAAAACCTAGAGGAAATGAATACATTCCTGGATACATACAGCTTACTAAGATTGAATCAGAAAGATATAGGAAACCTGTACAGAACAATAACATATATTGAGATAAGACAGCAATAAAAAGTCTCCCAAGAAATTAAAGTCCAAGCCCAGATGGCTTCACCGCTGAATTCTACCAAAATTACGAAGAAGAACTAACATGAATTCTTTTCAAACTACTCAAGAAGTTGAAAAAGAGATTATTCTTTTTAACCCATTCTACAAGGCCAGCATTACCAAATCCAGACAAGGATTTGGTACCAAAGCCAGACAAGAGCAGAACAAAAAAAGGCAAACTTCAGGCCATGTCCCTGATTAATACAGATGCAAAAATCATTAACAAAATACTAGCAAATTTAATCCAACAGCACATCAAAAAGATCAATTGCAATTTATCTCAGGAGTGCAAGGATGATTCAATATATGTAAAACAATACATGTAATCTGTCACATCAACAGAATGAAGAACAAAAACCATATGGTCATCTTGATAGATGCAGAAGAAACATTTGATAAAATTCAATATTCATTCATGACAAAAACTCTCAACAAACAAGGCATAGAAGGAACATACATCAAATGAGGGCTATGTGATGTAACTATATGATCAACCAACAGCTAATTTTACACTGAAAGGAGAAAAGCTGAAAGCCTTTTCTCTAGAACTTGGAACAAGTTGAGGATGTCTATGCCTATTTTCACCACTTCTATTCAATGTAGTACTGGAAGTCCTAGCCAGACTAATCAGGCAAGAGAAAGAAATAAAAGGCATCCAAATTGGAAAAGGAAGTCAAATTTTACCTCTCTGCTGATCATATGATCTTATATTTAAAAATACCTAAAGAGATCACCAAAACACTCTTGGATCTGATAAATCAATTCAGTAAATTTGCGGGATACAAAGTCAACATGCAAAACTCAGTAACATTTCTATACACCAACAATGAACTAGATGATAAAGAAATAAAAAAGACAGTCACATTTACAACAGCTACAAAACAATACCTAGCAATAAATTTAACCAAGGAGGTGAAAGACCTCTGGAAGGAAAACTACAAAACTTCAATGAACAAAATTGAAGAGGACAAAAACAAGTGGAAAGATATCATGTGCTCATGGATTGGAAGAATTCACATAGTTAAAATGACCATACTACTTAATCAATATACAGATTCAATGCAATCCCTATCAAAATCCCAATGTCATTTTTCACAGACATAGAAAAACAATCTTAAAACTTGTATGAAAACAAGAAAGAGCAATCCTGTAGGAAAAAAGCAATCTTGAAGAGGAAAAAATAACCTGGAGATATCACATTATCTAACCTCAAAATACATCACAAGGCTATAATAACCAAAACAGCATGTTATTGTTATAAACAAAGAAACAGAATGAACATCATAGAAATAATCACAAAAATAAATCCATGCATTTGTAGCCAACTCATTTTCAACAAAGGCACCAAAAATATCCATTGGAGATGAAACAACCTCTTCAATAAATGGTTCTGGGATAACTGGATTGCCAAATGCAGAAGAATGAAACTGGCCCCTATTTCTCGCCATATACAGAAATCAACTCATGATGGATTAAAGACTTAACATAAGACCTGAAACTACAAAACTAATAGAGGAAAACAGGAAAAACACTTCAGGACATTGGTCTAGGCAAAGATTTTAGGGATAAGACCTCAAAAGCACAGGCAACAAAAATAAAGATAAATAAATGGGACTATACTAAATGAAAAAGCTTCTGCACAGCAAAATAGAAAATCAACAGAGTGAAGAAACAACCCGTTGAATGGAAGAAAATATTTGCAAACTCTTTACCTGACAAAGCACCAATATACAGATATACAAGAAATTCAACTCAATAGTAAAAAAAAAAAAAAAAAATCCCATTTAAAAGTGGGCAAAGGACATGAATAGATGTTTCTCAAGAGAAGACCTACAAATGACAATGGATATGTTTAAAAAAATATGCTCAGCATCACTAATCATCAGGAACATGCAAATCAAAACCATAGTGAGATATCATCTTATCTCAGTTAGAATGGCTATTACTAAAAACACAAAAGTAGGAGATGCTGGTGAGGATGTGGAGAAAACGGGACTCACATACTGTTGCTGGCAATGTAAGTTAGTACAGACATTATGAAAAATAGTATGGAGATTTCTCAAAAAAATAAAAATAGAACTGTCATATACTCCAGCAATCCTGCTACTGGGTATTTATCCAAAGGAAAAGAAATCAGTGTTTTAAAAAGGTGCATGCACTTCTATGTTTATTGCAGCACTATTCACAGTATCAAAGACATGAAATCAATCTTGGTGTTCATCAGTGAACTAATGGATGAAGAAAACGTGGAATATAAACACAGTAGAATACTATTCAGCCATAAAAGGGAATGAAGTCCTGTCATTTGCAGCAACATAGATGGAACTAGAAGTTATTATGTTACATGAAATAAGCCAGGTGTAGAAAGACAAATATGACATGTTCTCACTTATATGTGAGGTCTAAAAAATTGATCTCATGGAGGAAGAGAGTAGAATAATAGATATCAGAGGCTAGGAAGGGTGTGTGAGTGGGGTGGGGGGATGAAGACAGGTTAGTTAATGGGTACAAATATACAGTTAAAAAGAAGGGATACATTCAAATGTTTAATAGCATAGTAGGGTGATGATAGTTAACAACATTGTATTGCATATTTCAAAATATCTAGTAAGAGAGGACTTGAAATGTACCCAACACATAATTTGATACTATTAAGTAATGGATACCCTAAATACCCTGACTCCATCACTATACATTCTATGCATGTAACAAAATATCACATGTACCCCATGAATATGCACAAACATTATATCAAAAACAAAGACAAAACATAACTGTATTTATTTAGGGAAGGATCATGTTATAATAAGACAAGAACATCAAAGGGACCTTCCGTTTAGTCTTCCCCATATGACTCAGAGTCATGTGCATAGATGATGGGTAGCGGTGAATGAAAAACACCTAGGATTTTCAGGAGTGATTGGTGTTGGCTCTGAGGTAACATTAATTTCACAGGACTCAGAATTTCAATAGATCCATGGAATTTTGACTTCAGTCCAAATTACAGAAAGTCAACAGAGACCTTGAGTATATTTACGGTCATCATCCCAGGTACATAATGGTTGGGATAGATGTCCTTCACACCAAGCAGAATCTCAGCAATAGTCAACATTTCAATCACTCTCTTGTGAATTCTCCTTTTTTTTCTTTTTGAGATGGAGCCTGTCTCTATTGCCCAGGCTTGACAGCAGTCGTGTGATCTTGGCTCATTGCAACCTCCACCTCCCAGGTTCAAGCAATTCTCCTGCCTCAGCCTCATGAGGAGCTGGGACTACAGGCATGTGTCACCATGCCCGGCTAATTTTTTTGTGTGTTTTTAGTAGAGATGGGGTTTCACCATGTTGGCCAGGCTGGTCTTGAACTCCTGACCTCAGGTGATCCACCTGCCTCAGCCTCCCAAAGTGCTGGGATTACAGGCATGAGCCACTGCCCGGACTCTTGTGAATTCTCTAAACTCTCTTCTCTCATCTCTTATACTCATGATCTAAAAACCCATGCCACATACACTCCTACCACCTGCATGGATAAACTCAGCTACCTGCCTTCTCTGGGTCTGTAACCACAAAACAGATCACCTATTAGGGAAACACACACACACACACACACACACACACACACACCCCAACCCCAATGTCAATGTACATAGTCTTCAATCCTGTATTGCTTCAGACAGTTTGCTCTCACACTTTTCACAGCAACAACTTCAAATCTTTCCTACTCTTCTCAAAGCTCTAATAGCCCATTTCAAGCTCCCTATTCTGGGAAGAGAGCCTTGCCTCCTTCTTGAATGAGTAAACACGAGTTATTAGGTGGGAATTCTGTCAATTTTCCCCCAAAAATATACAGATTGAAGTGTGTCTATAGTCACAGTCCTCTTTTCATTTTATGTTACAATGCAGGAAGTGTCCCTTCAGATTTCAAAAGGTAATTTTTGAATTTTTGAATTCCATGTATGCTCGGAATTCTGATTTCCAGAAATCTTACAATTCTTTTATCTTCCATATGTTCCCCACTTTTTCCCTCTCAGACCCTGCTCTAATATCTCCTGTAACCAGGAATACTTTCCTGGATTCAATATTATCCTCAGGCTATGCTATCTACAGCCCTTCTCTCACTCTGTTCACAGTTACAAGTATCTAAAGGGGTCTTTAAAAAGGCAAGAGATGCAAATATTAGAAGGAAGGAATAAAGATATAGCCTCAACTTTCTAATCCAAATGTACATGCGGTATGAGCAGCCTCATTGAAAACATGTCAAGGGAGTGTCCTTAGCAGAGAACCTGGTCAAAACATAGGATTAGCATTCAGGAAAGAAGCTCAGAATTTATTGGGGCTTTATGATCTTGCCAGAGAAATTTTAGCGAGCACAATGGTGGGGTATAGTAGGAAGGGAAGAAAGTGAGCAAGAGAAAAAGAGAGAAGAGAGGAATTTGTTGTATGTTAAAAGCACACAGTGAGTTGTGGAGATGATATTGGTAAAGCAGTGTTTCCCAAACTTTCCTATGCATAAAATTCAACTGCACCCAGGTGAAAATACATTTCTCCAGTTTTCATCCCAGGTATGATCCCCAGAACAAGAAATTTGAACTTTTAACAACCACCGTGGGTGACTTTTTTGATGAGGCAAATATGAGAGGGGTGCATTCTTAGAGGGTCCTCAGAGGGTGTGTGTGTGTGTATTTATGTGCATAGATGCTAGTACTTAGCTGTTAAACAAAGATAATGGACATGGAGAATTTGGGTTCTAACAGTTTCTTGGAGCTCCATGGATCTTTGGACCACACAGACTTACCTGTGGCTTGAATGGTTAATTGTCTGATAAGTGTGTCCCTTAGGTGTTCCTTTCGGTGTTTAAAGCTGGCATCTGTGGTTGTTGTATCAGCAATCAGCACAATGAGGCAAGTGAGGATGAGGTCCTAGCTATATTATGACCATGGTTATGTGGCTTAGAGGATTGAAGCCTCAAAGACTTGAGTCAGTTTCAGTCCAGCAGTGGTGTTCTTAGGGAGTATCTGGCTGACATTCTTGGCTGGCTTCAGCACATGGCTTTTTATTATGTTCAGCCAAAACTGTGTCATAAGGGTGAACCAGAGCAGTGGGGTCAGGGGGCAAGATGAGAAGGAGAGTCAAGAAATATCTAAGCAGTAACTGTGAGAGGAGTTTGTGATTGATTATAAGGGAGAGACAGAAAGATAAACGAGCTTTCTGCCTTAGAGACTAGGTAACTGATGATGCTGTGGATGAACAGAACAGAAAATGTAGGATAAAGAGCTGGTTTTCTAGGGTAGAAAAGCTCACTTTTGCATCCCTGGAGTTGAAGGTGCCTATGCTACATTCACACGGGAATGTTCAATGTTACGTATTTATGGAACTCAGTAAAGAGAAATGGGTGGAAGGTCCAGGATCCATAATGTGATGGTTAATTTTATGTGCCAAGTTGGTTGGGCCACAGTGCCCAGATATTTGGTTAAACATTATTATGGATGTTTCTGGGAAGGTGTCTTTTGAATGAGATTTACCAGTGGTCCCCAAACATCTTGGCACCAGGAATCAGTTTTGTGGAAGACAATTTTTCCATGGCTGGGGTGGGTGATGGTTTTGAGATCAGGCTTAAGATTCTCATAATGAGACACAACCTAGATTCCACATATGTGTAATTCACAATAGGGTTCGTGCTCCATGGAGAATCTAATGCTGTAGCTGATCTGAAAGGAGGTGGAGTTCAGGTGGTAATGCTCACTTGTCCGCAGGTCACCTCCTGCTATGCAGCTGGGTTCCTAACAGGCCATAGTCCAGTATGGATCCATGGACCAGGGTTGGAGACCTCTGAGATGATTGTTTAGACCAGTGGACTTTAAGCAGATTATGATCTTTAATGTGAGTGGTCTCATCTACTCCATTGAGGGTCTTAATAGAACAAAGACTAATATCACCTGGTCAAGAAGGAATTCTGCCACCTGTCTGCCTTCAGGCTTAGACTGTGACTCTTCTTGCATCTCCAGATTAGTGACCTACCCTGCAGATTTTGAACCTGCACTTCCACAAATACATAAGCTGATTACTTGAAATAATCTCTCTCTCTCTCTCAGTAGATTTATACATATAGGACTGTAATACATATGGTATATAACCTCAGAGAGAGGGCTGGGGAGAGGAGAAAGAGATAGGAGGGAGGAAGGGAGAGAGAGAGAGATTTAAATATACACACACAGAGTCCTGAGTGGCTTAACACTGGGGATATATTCTGAGAAATGGTTTTGATACGGTTTTTCTGTATCCCCACCCAAATTTCACCTTAAATTCCCATGGGTTGTGGGAGGGACCCGGTGGGAGGTAATTGAATCATGGGGGCAAGTCTTTCACGTTCTGTTCTCATGATAGTAAGTAAATCTCACAAGATCTGATGGTTTTATAAAGAGAAGTTCCTCTGCATAAGCTCTCTCTTTTTGCCTGCCACCATCCATGTAAGAAGTGACTTGCTCCTCCTTGCTTTCTGCCATGACTGTGAGGCCTCCCTAGCCATGTCTCAGGTATGCAGCAGTGTGAAAACGGGCTCATAATGTTCATTGTGTGAACATCAAAGAGTGTACTTACATAAACCTAGAGGGTATGCCTACTACATGCCCAGGCTACATGAGATAATATATCTCCCATTAAAAAAAAAAAATATATATATATATATCCTATTGATATATATATATATCCTATTGATATATATATATATCCTATTGATATATATATATATCCTATTGATATATATATATATCCTATTGATATATATATATATCCTATTGATATATATATATATATATCTCCTATATATATATCTCCTGTACACATGGTACTGTACTGAATACTATAGAAAATTTAACACAATGGCATTTGTGTATCTAAACATATCTAAACAGAAAAGGTAGTGCATTGTGCTACAACACTGTAATGGCTACAGATTTATACAGTCACTAGGCAATAGGAATTTTTTTTTTTTTTTTTGACGGAGTTTCGCTCTCGTTGCCTGGGCTGGAGTGCAGTGGCGCAATCTCAGCTCACCACAACCTCCACCTCCCAGGTTCAAATGATTCTCCTGCCTCAGCCCCCCGAGTAGCTGGGATTACAGGCATGTGCTACCGCGCCCGACTAATTTTATATTTTTAGTAGAGATGAGGTTTCTCCATGTTGGTCAGGCTGGTCTCAAACTCCCAACCTCAGGTGATCTGCCCGCCTCGGCCTCCGAAAGTGCTGGGATTACAGGTGTGAGCTACTGCTCCTGGCCAGCAATAGGATTTTTTTAGTTCCATCATAATCTTATGGGGTTGCTGTTTTATATTCAATTGTTGCCCAAAATATCATTATGTGGCAATACTATATTCCCCCCCACTCCCCGCCACACATCTCATTGGTCCTGTTTCTCAGAAGAACCCAATCTTCTCTGAAGATTGAAATTTGTCTAACAATAATGCATGCTTTTCTTTTTCTGTATTGTACTTGGTAGCCTAAATTCGGGAATAGACCCAGCACTGTGCTGTTCGTCTAAGGTCCTAATGTAAGGTAACATTAGCAAGTTAGATAATGTTTCCTGTGGATAGAAATTAAGGTCAACATCAATGGGGTCCAGGCTTAGTGGAGAATGAGGTGATGACATAAGGGAGCTGGTAGTCATGATAAAAAGGGAAGGTAAATTTTAAAAAATCTCTCTCTCACCTTAGACTCCAAACTATATTCTTAAGGCAGCCATTTTTCCTTCCATGGCTTGAAGAATTACCCAGAAAGCCACCACTGGTGCTTGCTAATTGACCCAGAGAATTATTCCAGGTGGCTACAACTCTCACCATCTGCTTTGGACCCTCTCTCCAGTCTGGTGTCCCCGATTTCTCTGCCATTGGCACCATTACTTGGAAGCTTTCTCTCTGCTTGGCCCCAACAGATTGATTAGCTATTTGGACAGTCTGCTGTTCTTTGGACAATCACTGCAACATGTGCAGCTTCTCAAATTACCCCCCATGGCAACTGCGGCCAGCAGTAAGTGGTGACAAACCGTCCAACACAGCTCCCAGGACACTAAGTGCCTGCTTCATGGGAGCATTGAGAGGCTTCATTGCTATGTTCTTATGTTGAGCAAATTTTGTGTTCAAATTTCTCTTGAAAACAGAGACACAGTCAATATACTGGTGATATTTTACAATACCCACAACCACATAGGGGTAAAGTATGAATGCTAAAGGGTTATAAGCATTAAGAATTTTATAATACTTGATAATCAACAGAATTATCCGGTGATGTGAAAATGTAGCTCCCGTCAGAAGACAACTTGCTGGGATTTAATCTCACATTTTACAGAGAATTAGGCTATTATGAGCTTTCTTATTTGTTGAATCATCATCGTGCCTTCTGGAATTTAGAAGCATGACTGGTCAGGATAATCATTATTTTGGGGCCCACTGGGTTTGCAGTAAATTCGAAACTCTGAAACAATTCAGCTTTGACCTTGGGACTTTCTTAGCAGGGCCAGCTATAGACCTAGTTCTGCCTACTTTTCAGGGAAAAGTCATTGTTTTCTATGACCAGGTCATCTACCCAATAGAGAAACTGCATGAGCATCTGAGTGTTTTACATTGCTGTATAATGAATACTGGGGATGCCATTTTTCATTTATCATGGCTGCTTGACTCGGCATTATTTTATGATGAAAATAATATAGCACTTAGAGTCAGAAAAATCTGGAATTTGTTTCTTACTCAATCAAGCCGTCACCTTCAGAAATTACATCATTTTCAGGTCTTTTGTTTCTGCATCTGTAAATTTGATCTGTTGTTCCATTCTTAAAGTAGATGTAATCGTTAACAATAAACTGTAACCTAAAGTTATAAATTGACTTCAATTTTACAATAATATTACACATACATAAAATTTACACAGTGATTCTTGTTCTTTAGCTTTTCTCTTTTTATTATAAGTTATATCATGCAAAGACCACATCTTTCTTTTTGGTCACTGGAGTGCCATATAAATTGTTAAAACTTGTAGTCCATTAAATGTAAAGCTGGCTGATGATAATTGATTTTCTTCTTTTTTGGTAGTGCTTTCTTGTATCATTCTTTCTTTTTTTGACTGAAAAATATATTTTAAGTTGTTATGCTTGTACTTCATTATTACATATCCAATGTCAATCAATATAAAAAGCATTTAAACTAGTAGTTTCACAAACACATATGTGGCCAACATTTACACCAAATTCAGAACATATTTTTTTACCATCTTTTAAATGTATCTTCACTTAGGTATATGATAATTAATATAGATTTATTTCAGTTCTTATATTATTACCTTTCCTTGTCCTTCTCCCTCTACTCTTTGTCCTTCAGAAAAATCTCCCCTAATAAATCTTTTGCATGTCTGTTTTGTGTAATTTGTGATATGTTTCCATATATCACAAATGTTACTATCATATATGTTACTGTGTTTTTCCTTGATACTTTTTTTGTGGAGTTTATCTTGCAGTTTATTTATTTTTTATTTTGGTAGGTTTTTGGGGAACAGGTGGGGTTTGGTTACATGAATAAGTTCTTTAGTGGTGATTTCTGAGATTTCAGTGCACCCCTCACTCAAGTAGTGTACACTGTACGCTGTGTGTGGTCTTTTGTCTCATCTCCCTCCCCCCACTTCCCCTGGGTGCCCAAAGTTCATTGTATCATTCTTATGCCTTTTGTATCCTCATAGCTTATCTCCCACTTACAGGTGAGAACATATGATGTTTGGTTTTCCATTCCTGAGTTACTTCACTTAGAATGGTCTCCAATTCCATCCAGGCTGCTATGAATGCCATTATTTCATTCATTTTTATGGCTGAGTAGAATTCCATGGTATATATATCACAATTTCTTTATCCGCTTGCTGATTGATGGACCACTGGGCTGGTTCCATATTTTTGCAATTGTGAACTGTGCTGCTAAAAACATGTGGGTGCAAGCTTCTTTTTTATATAACGACTTTTTTTTCCTCTGGGTAGATACCCGGTTGTGGAATTGCTGGATGAAATGGTAGCTCTAATTTTAGTTCTTTAAGCAATCTTCACACTGTTTTTCATAGTGGTTGTACCAGTTAACATTCCCACCAGCAGTGTAAAACTGTTCCCTTCTCACTATATCCATGCCAACATGGATTTTTTTTAATTTTTTGAATATGGCTATTCTCGCATTGTGGTTTTGATATGCCTTTACCTGATCATTAAAGATGTTGAGCATTTTTTCATTTTGAGTATGTTTGTTTGTCATTTGCATATCTTCTTTTGAGAATTGTCTATTCATGTCCTTAGCCCAATTTTTGATGGGATTGTTTAATTTTTTTTCTTGTTGATTTGTTTGAGTTCCTTGTGGATATTAGTTTTTTCTCAGATGTACAGAAAGCAAAGACTTTCTCCCCTTTTCTGGGTTGTCTGTTTACTCTGCTGATTGTTTGTTTTGCTGTGCAGAAACTTTTTAGTTTAATTAAGTCCAATCTATTTATCTTTGTTTTTCTTGAATTTGCTATTGTGTTTTTGCTCATGAAGTCTTTGCCTAAGCCAATGTCTAGAAGAGTTTTTCTGATGTTATCTTCTAGAACTTTTATGGTTTCAGGTTTTAGATTTAAGTCCTTGACCCATCTTGAGTTAATTTTTGTATAAGGTGAGAGATGAGGGTCCAGCTTCATTCTTCTACATGTGGCTTCCTAGCACCATTTGTTGAATAGGGTGTTCTTTCCCCACTTTATGTTTTTGTTTGCTTTGTCAAAGATTAGTTGGCTGTGGTTATTTGGCTTTATTTCTGTTTTTTTTTTTTGTGTTATTATTATTCTGTTCCATTGGTCAGTGTGCCTATATGTATACCAGTATGATGCTGTTTTGGTGATTATGGCCCTATACAATAGTTTGATGTCAGGTAACGTGATGCCTCCAGATTTATTCTTTTTGCTTAGTCATGCTTTGGCTATGCAGGGTCTTTTTTGGTTCTGTATGAATTTCAGGCTTGTTATTCCCAGTTCTGTGAAAAATGATGGTGGTATTTTGATGAGGATTGTGTTGAATTTCTGGATTGCTTTTGGCAGTGTGGTCATTTTCACAATATTGATTCTACCCATGCATGAGCATGGGATGTTTTTCCATTTGTTTGTGTTGTATATTATTTCTTTCAGAAATGTTTTGTAGTTTTCCTTGTAGAAGTCTTTCACCTCCTTTGTTAGGTATATTCCTAAGTAAATTTTTTTAAATTAAATTTATTTTTTTTGCAGCTATTGTAAAAGGGGTTGAGTTCTTGATTTGATTCCCAGCTTGGTCACTGTTGGTATACACAAGAGCTACTGACTTGTGTACATTAATTTTGTATCTGGAAACTTTGCTGAATTCATTTACCAGTTCTAGTTGCTTTTTGGAGGAGTCTTTATGATTTTTGAGTTATATGATTATATCATCAGCAAACAGTGATAGTTTGATATTCTTTACTGATTTGGATGCCTTTCTTTCTCTTGTATGATTGTTGTGGTTAGGATTTCCAGTACTGTGTTAAATAGAAGTGGTGAGAGTGGGCATCCTTGTCTTCTTCCAGTTCTCAGGGGGAATGCTTTCAACATTTCCTGGTTCAGTATTATGTTAGCTGTGGGTTTGTCTTAGATGTGTTTTATTACCTTAAGATATGCCCCTTCTACGCCAATTTTGCTGAGTGTTTTAGTCGTAAAAGAATGTTCGATTTTCTCAAATCCTTTTTTGCATCTATTGAGATAATCATGTGATTTTTGTTTTTAATTCTGTTTGTGTACTGTATCACATTTATTGACTTGCATATGTTAAACCATCCCTGCATCCTTGATATGAAACCCACTTGATCATGGTGGATTATCTTTTTGATATGCTATTGGATTCGATTCACTAGTATTTTGTTTAAGATTTTTACATCTATAGTCATCAGAATTATTGGTCTGTAGTTTTCTTTTTTTTTTTCTTTTTTAATCATGTCCTTTTCTGGTTTTGGTATTAATGTGATAATAGCTTCATGGAATGATTTAGGTAAGATTCCCTCTTTCTCTATCTTGTATAATAGTGTCAATAGCATTGGTACCAATTCTTCTTTGAATGTCTGATAGAATTCAGCTGTGAATTCATCTGGTTCTGGACTTTTTGTTGTTGTTGTTGTTGGCAATTATTTTTATTATCATTTCAATCTCACTGCTTGTTATTGGTCTCTTCACAGTTTCTGTTTCTTCCTGGTTTAATCTAGGAGGGCTGTATATTTCCAGGAATTTATCCATCTCATCTAGGTTTTCTAGTTTATGCATGTAAAGATGTTCATTAACCTTGAATGATCTTTGTATTTTTGTGGTATTGGTTGTAAATATCTCATTTTGTTTCTAATTGAGCTTATTTGGATCTTCTCTTTTTTTTATTGGTTTATCTTGTTAATGGTTTATCAATTTTATTTATCTTTTTAAGGAACCAGCTTTTTGTTTCATTTATCTTTTGTATTTTTTTTTGTTTTAATTTCATTTAGTTCTCCTCTAATCTTTGTTGTTTCTCTACTTCTTCTGGGCTTGGGTTTGGTCTGTTCTTGTTTCTCTAGTTCTGTGAGGTGTGAGCTTAGATTGTCCATTTGTGCTCTTTCAGATTTTTTTCTTTTGTTTTTATTTTTTTGAGATGGAGCTTCGCTCTTGTTGCCCAGGCTGGAGTGAAATGGCATGATGTCAGCTCAGGTTCAAGTGTTTCTCCTTCCTCAGCCTCCCGAGTAGCTGGGATTACAGGCATGAGCCACCATGCCTGGCTAATTTTGTATTTTTAGTAGAGACAGGATTTCTCCACATTGGTCAGGCTGTTACAATTTCAGACTTTGTGATATAAGCATTTAATGCTATGAAATTTTCTCTTAGCATTGCCTTTGCTGTATCCCAGAAGTTTTGATAGGTTGTGTCACTATTATCGTTCAGTTCAAAGAATTTTTAAATTTCCATTTTTCTTTCATTGTTGGATCAATGATCATTCAAGAGCAGGTCATTTAATTTCCATGTATTTACATGATTTTGAGGGCTCATTTTGGAGTTGATTTTCAGTTTTATTCTGTAGTGGTCTGAGAGAGTACTTGATATAACTTCACTTTTCTTAAATTTATAGAGACATGTTTTGTGGTCTATAATATGGGCTATCTTGGAGAATGTTCCATGTGCTGATGAATGGAATATATATTCTGTAGTTGCTGAGTAGAATATTCTGTAAATACCTGTTAAGTCCATTTGTTCTAGGGTATAGTTTAAGTCCATTGTTTCTTTGTTGAGGTTCTGTCTTCGTGACTTGTCTAGTGCTTTTAGTGGACTATCAAAGTCTCCACTATTCTTGTGTTGCTCTCTGTCTCATTTCTTAGCTCTGGTAGTAATTGTTTTATAAATTTGGGATCCCCAGTGTTAGGTGCATATATATTTAGGATTGTGATATTTTTCTTTTGGACTAGTCCTTTTATCATTATATAATGTTCCTCTTTGTCTTTTTTAACTGCTGTTGCTTTAAAGTTTGTTTTGTCTGATATAAGAATAGCTACTCCTGCTTCCTTTTCGGGTCCATTTGCATGAAATGTCTTTTTACACCTCTTTCTCTTAAGTTTATGTGAGTCCTTACATGTCAAGTGAGTCTCTTGAAGGTAGCAGATACTTGGTTGGTGAATTCTTATCCATTCTGCCATTCTGTATCTTTTAAGTGGAGCATTTAGGCCATTTACATTCAATGTTAGTATTGAGATATGAGGTACTATTCTATTCATCATGCTATTTGTTGCCTGAGTACCTTGTGTTTTTTCTTTCATTGTGTTATAGTTTTATAAGTCCTGTGAGATACATGCTTTAAGGAGGTTCTATTTTGGTATAGTTCTCAGGATTTGTTTCAAGATTTAGAGCTCCTTTTAGCAGTTCTTGTAGTGTTGGCTTGCTAGTGGTGAATTCTCTCAGCATTTCTTTTTTTTGTCTGAAAAAGTCTGTATCTTTTCTTCATTTATGAAGCTTAGTTTCACTGGATACAAAATTCTTGGCTGATAATTTTTTTTAAAGGAGGCTGCAGATAGAGCCACAGTTCCTTCTAGCTCGTAGGGTTTCTGCTGAGAAATCTGCTGTTAATCTAATATGCTTTCCTTTATAGATTATCTGGTGCTTTTGCCTTACACCTCTTAAGATTCTTTACTTTGTCTTGACTTTAGATAACCTGATGACTCTGTGCATAGGTGATCTTTTTGTGGTAAAATTTCTCAGGTATTCTTTGACCTTCTTGTACTTGGATGTCTAGATCACTAGCAAGGCTGTGGAAGTTTTCCTCTACCATTTCTTCAAATATGTTTTCCAAACTTTTAGATTTCTCTTTTTCCTCAAGAATACCAATTGCTCTGAGGTTTGGACATATAACATAATCCCAAACTTCTTGGAGGCTTTGTACATTTCTTTAAATTCATTTTTCTTTGTCTTTGTTGGATTGGGTTAATTCAAAAAGCTTGTCTTCAAGCTCTGAAGTTTTTTTCTTCTACTTGTTTGATTCTATTGCTGAGACTTTTCAGGGTATTTTGCATTTCTCTAAGTGTGTCCTTCATTTCCAGAAGTTGTGACAGTTTTTCACTTATGCTATATATTTCACTGAAGATTTTTCGCTTCATATCTTATAACTTTTTTGATTTTATTAAGTTGGACTTCACCTTTCTCTGATGCCTCCTTGATTAGCTTAATAATCAATCTTCTGAATTATTTTTCTGGCAATTCAGGGATTTGTTCTTGGTTTGAATCCATTACTCATGAGCTAGTGTGATCTTCTGGGGGTTTAAAGAAACTTGGTTTGTCATATTACCAGAATTGTTTTTCTAGTTCCTTCTCATTTGGGTAGACTATGTCAGAGGGAAGATATGGGGCTCAAGCGTTGCTGTTCAGATTCCTTTGTTCCACAGTGTTTCTCCCTTAGGTAGTGCTCTCTCTCTTTCCCTAGGGATGTGGCTTCCTATGAGCCAAACTGCAATGATTGTAATTTCTCTTCTGAATCTGGCCATCCAGCAGAACTACCAGGCTCCAAGCTGGCACTGGCAGGTGCCTGCACAGAGTCCTGTGATGTGAACCATCTTCAGGTCACTCAGCCATGGATAGAAGCATCTGCTCTATCACAGGTGGCAGGGGAGTGAAATGGACTCTGTGAGGGTCCTTAGTTGTCGTTCATTTATTGCACTAGTTTTGTGTTGGTTGGTCTCCTGCCAGGAGGTGGCGCTTTCAGGAGAGCATCAACTCTAGTAGTATAGGGAGGATCAGGTGGTGGGCAGGGCCCTAGAGCTCCCAAAAGATTATGTCATTTGTCTTTGGCTACCAGGACAGGAGAGAAAGACCGTCAGGTGGGGGGAGGGTTAGGCGTGTCTGAGCTCAGATTCTCCTTGGGTGGGACTTGCTGCTGCTGCTGTGGAGAATGGCGGTATTGTTCTTAGGCCAGTGGAGTTATTTTCCCAGGGGGTTTATGGCTGCCTCTGCTGCCTCATGCAGGTCGCCAGGGAAGCAGGGGAAAGCTGGCAGTTACAGGCCTCACCCAGCTCCCGTGCAGCCCAAAAGACTGGTCTCACTCCCACCATGCCCTCTCCCAAGAGCACTGAGTTTATTTCCAGGCAGCCAGGTGAGCAGGGCTGAGAACTTGCCCCAGGCTGCAAGCCTCCCCACTGAGAAAGCAAGCAAGCCTTTCCGGTTTTGCACTTCCCTGCCTGCCTTGGCTTCTGAGCTATGTTTGCACTCCTGATTCACCTCCTCCTCTGAGTTCTGTCCAGGAAACTTCCCATTCAGCCGAAATTGTTACAAAGTTCAGCTGGAAGTTTCCTTTTCCCTGTGGTCTTTTCCCAGTTCCCCTGTGAGCCCTCCCCAAGGACCTCTGCAAGATAAAGTCAGAAATGGCTTCCCTGGGGACTGAGAGAGCCCACAGGGCTCTTTCCACTGCATCTTCGACCCCTATATTTTGCTTGGCTCTCTAAATTTGTCTGATCTCCAGGTAAGGTCAAATTCTCCCATGATCTGGACCTTCAGGTTCCCCAGTGAGGGTTTGTGTTCTGGGGCAGATGATTGATCCGCCTTTCACACTTGGGACACTCAAAGGTTTTCAGCTCTCTCCCGGGTCCTGCAGGAGAAATCTGCTTCCTTCAAAGAGTCTGTGAATTCTCTTGGCTTTCCTGGTATGTTCCTGTGGTAGTTCCTGGAGCAGAAGTTCAGGATGTGAGTCTCCACACACTGCTGTGCTTCTTTAGATTTTCTTCAATGAGGTTTAAGCGAAGGGAAACTTTTGATAAAGTAACCATGTGTCAACATTTGTATTTTAAAGTGATTGCTGACCTTTGTTTATGGTAGAAGTGGTAAAAATTCTGTACTGTATATTACCAGCAGGTAGTAGAAGCAAATGTGAGAACAAACTTCAGTGACATCGACATCATAATTTATAAAAATATGAGAGTTGAGCATGTCAGATATTCTCCAACTGTACCCTTTCACATTCCACTCACATGTGGCCATTGCCTCATAACTGAGAAATGGTCTTTCATTAAATCACCATTGTCATTGCAATCTATTGTAAAATAAATTAATTTAACATCTATTTATTTCTATTTCATCAATATCACTAGAGGAATTTTACCCACAGAAAGAGTCACTCAATTGTTGCAAATTATTATCTCTGTATTTGCATATTTATTTTTGGAAATATGTTTTATTGTGGAATGGAACAATACAATTTCTCTTATTGAATTGCCTTATTGAAGATGAAAATTTTCTAATAAAACTCTAAAACTCTAGTCATTACTGTGTTGTATTCTGATATGTCTATTCTCTCTGCTAGCTGATAATAAATTCTCTATTTTAAATCATTACATAACTTATTTCTTTGGTTGCAAAAGAACAAATACATCTTCATGCTTTTTGAAATTTGGATAAATATTTGACTGTGGAAGGCAAACTCACTCTTTTATAGAAAATAAAGTGTACTCATTATCCATTTTTTCATAACTACAGAATAGGTAACGATTTTGTGTGGCTTCAAGTAAATTTACTGCACTAACAATGGTGGTCTAGGAGCCATTCAAATTTGTAGGAAAAACTTTGCAGCAAGTGCTTAAAATAACAGTGCAGAATATATTTTGTGATTCTGTTATGTGAATATTTCTTTAAGTGGGCAACACGTTGTGATTTATTTTTTATGGGTGCTTTATTAATAGAACTGATTTATACGATTAAGTTTTACCATATAATTCTATAAGAAATTTCTGATAATAGGGGCACTAAACTAATTGCAGTAATTCACAGAATAACTCTTCTATGATATTTATCAAACAAATACATCAGCTGATTTTAACCTCAACATCAATAGACCTCTGAAGAAAAGTGCCCATTATAAGAAGACCAATATTGATATCTCCTATTCTATGAGACAGCTGGGCTGTCACAAATTTCAGAATAAAGCTGGTAATTAGGCAAATAAAACTGCCACGTTCCTTTTTAAATTTGACAACAGTTAGATAGAAGGAATAAAATCAAGTGTTCAAGTAGCACAATAGGGAGACTATAGTTAAAAATAATTTATTGTATTTTTCAAAATACTTAAAAGAGTAAAATTGGAATTTCCTACCAAAAAGAAATGATATGAGCTCTAGATGATGGTTATCCCAATTACCTTGATTTGATTGTTACATGTTGTATGATTGTATCAAAATGTCACATGTGTCCCATAAATATCTACAACTATTATATATCTATAATGATTAAAATTTAAAAATTAAAAAAAATTCCAATGTATGAGATTTACATATTTTAGCGATTTTATGCAGCTTCCTTTTCTTGACACACAACTAGATGTCTTGTTAGAATACTTTGTGTTCAAATAAGATATTGAAATGTTAAACTTTTTTTCTCTTCTTCATTTTGTTTCCCCTTTCTTTCCTCTCAGTTACTTGCATTATAATACAGTATGCCTCAGGGAAACTAAAATATTACAGAAAAACAGAAGATTTTTAAGTACTAAAAATCTAGGACCCCATGGGACTTGGGATATGAAGAACACACGATGAATCTGAACAAGTCTAGATGAAGTTTTCTCAGGTTTGGGGAAGAGAAGAAACAGTCAAAGGAGAAAGGAAGATATCTAAAAACCCAATGCGTCCCTCAAGAGGGTCCTCATACTTTGTATACAACTTCAGAGTTCTAGACAACAAAAGAACAACCCAACCGAAAAAAGTGGGCAAAAGACTTGAATATTCTTTTCTCTACAGAAGATCTATAAACGGTCAACAGATACATAAAAAAATACTTAACATCATTAGTAATCAAGAAATACCACTTCATACCCACTAGGCTGTCTAAAATGAAAAAGACAGAAAATAACAAATGCTGGGAAAGTTGTGGAGAAATTGAAACTCTTACATGTAGCTGGTGAACTTTTAGAATGGTGCAGCCATTTTGGAAAGCATTCTTGGTAGTACTTCAGAATGTTAAATATAGAGTTACCACATGACCTAGCAATTCCACTCTTAAGACTATACCCAAAGTAAATGGAAATTTATATGCATCCAAATCCTTGGACATGAAAGATCACAGTGGCATGATTCATAATGAGCAAAAGATGGAAGAAATTAAAAGTGCTCATCAACTGATGCAATGAGTAAATAAAATATAGTATATCCATACAATTCAATAATATTTGGCAATACAAAGAAATAAAATAGTGATGCATGTTACAATAGGATTGAACCTGGAAAAGTATTATGCTAGAAAAAAATTTAAAAAGAAAATTAGAAATGAAGGAGAAATAAAAAAAAACACTTAAAATAGTGTTAATTCTAGGTGAAAGAGGCAAGTCACAAAACACCACATATAGTATGATTTCATTTATATGAATAATACAGGCAAATTTATAGAGACAGAAAACAGACAACTGGCTGTTAGGGGCTGAAAGAGGGAGGAATGTGGAGTTACTGCAAAAAGGTACAGAATTTTTTTTTTTTTGGAAATGGTGAAATCTTCTAAAATTATAGTTTTAACAACTTTGGGAATATGCTAAAGAGCACTGAATTGTATATTTTAAAAGGATGCATTTTATATGAATTATAACTCATAAACAACAGTCAACTAGAATGAATGCAAGAGTATCTTGAATCACTGAATCTTGAATCATGGTCTATTCTCTTATGGGAGAATTGTGATATGGTTTGGATGTGTGTTTCGCCTCCACATCTCATGTTGAAATATGATCCCCAATGTTGGAGGTGGGGTCTGCTGGAAGGTGTCTGGGCCATGGGGGTGGATACATCATGAATGGGTTGGTGCCTTCCCCATAATAATGAGTTCTCACTCTATTAGTTCAGGCAAGAGCTGGTCATTTAAAGTAGCCTAGCATCTCTGTTGTTCCCTCTCTCACCAGGTGATATGCCTACTCCCCCTTCACCTTCGATCATGATTGTAAACTTCGTGAGGACATCACCAAAGGCTGACATTGGCAACATGCTTCCTGTACAATCTGCAGAACAACGATGGAACAAAATAAACACCTTTTCTTTATAAATTACCCGGCTTCATGTATTCCTTCATAACAATGCAAAGCAGCCTAATACAAATTGTCAGTGAGTAGGCAGATTTTCAGAATGTATGGCTAATTGGAATTTCCATGGTCCTATATGAGAAGAGATTTGAAGTAATTCCATAGAATGTTATGAGCGCCCTGGGAGAAGAAAAAGGGTGATTTTTCAGAAGGAAAAGAGTGTAAGAAAAACATGAAATTCAATTTTCCAATGACAGTTCTGAGAACACTTAAACAAGGAGGGATGTGGGAAGTGATTTTTAAGTCTGTATCTAGAAATAGGGATTTCTAAAATAACTGGATCTTTTTCTGGAGAGATTAAAAAAAATACTAACATTATTCACCAGGCAAGTAAAAGCAACCAAACTAGCATGTTCCTTAATATCTTTAAGTATAATTAATTGAGTACTAGTAGAATGCTATCCCTTCTGACATCCTTTGAACACTAGGATGCCAGGATCCAATGTAACCCTAGAAAACATAGTGATCATCCCAAGAAAGATTATATTTCTAAGGTAACCACTATGGATTCAATGAAACCAAAAGGCATACTTACACTTTTCCAATAGGAAAACTAAACACACCACAATAATTATATGCATAATGAAAATGAGGCTTAGGAGGTTACGGAAAGTGTGCCAAGACTGTATACTATTTATTTATTGACAATTTAAGCAGTAGACTTTAATTCATTTTTTCTCTAGTATTGGAGATTTTCTATGTCCAGAGACAGAAAAATGACTCTGATGAGGAGGAAGTGGTGTGGAATATGGCTAGGACATGGCACCCCCACCAGTTAACCTGAGTCCATTGAGAGCTCCCTCTGAGAAGGGGAATTGTGCCTGCATCCATGTCCACATTTCCTTTGTAGCATTGATGATAATGTGTAGACAACAAAAAGCTTCTTGAAAGAATCAGGGGTGACTCTAGTTCCAGTCTTAAGGGGAGTGCGAACTGTACCTTTATCCAGCCTTATCTACCCATCCATAAAAACTCTGGATATATGATACATGTTTATATCTGTTCATGTTGGAATTGGGGTGGAGCTAATGATATCTACAGAGTCATATACTGATTGGTACGTAAGTAGTAGTATTTTGGAGAAATGAGCTCAGAATATAGTTTCAGAATATAGTACAAGTCCCCAAAGAGATTTTATATACATATTTACTCTATATAATGTATATATATATTTATAAATATATAAATTATCTTGCAACCCGGAGGGAAGCAGAAGTAACAAACAAAATGGTCATACCTGAAGAGGCCTGGCATAAAGGAAAAGAAATATGACAAAGCAGTATTTCTACTTGGACATATGAATAACACAGAAGACGGACATTTCAGAAGATGTGTCTGTAGATAAAAATGGCAGAATCTCAGGTTATAAGGCATGTGTACACACACATACATGCGTATAGAAATCTGTGTTCCCTAAAACTATGTGTGTCCCCTGGTTGTTAGTTCCAACTATAGGAAAATGTATTAGGTAGGGACTTGAAAATAAGTTTCTTCCATGTGATTGGATTGATGCTAAAAATAGAAATACATATAAGAAATATAAACCATAGTCATACTTGAGTTATGAGCTTACATTTGTTCATCTGTAAAAATAGCTTCTTAAGTGAAACAAAAACAAATGACTTCAAGATCTCAATCATGATCTGGTCAGCTTCATGATAGCTGGCATCACTGTGTTGATATTGATACTGTCAAGAACTGTAGTTAAAGTTTTGTTTTGAGAATAACAAGTTTGAGTGTTCGTACTATGGTATTAGAGCTTCTTTTATGTCCATTACATAAGTGAGTTTTTCCATTTTCATTTCCTTTTGTGGGGAAAATCATACAAAAAAAGCAACATTAAAAAATGGTACAGAGGTGGAAAAGAGTTTTGATGTGTGCTCATGGTAACCACTGTAGTAGGAAAGATGACATGAAGATGGGGACTGATGAAAATATCACCTGAAGATGCAGCAGAAATGACACTGTGAAACAGCCATGGCATCTCACTTGATACAAACAACCCAGCACTGCCTTCCTCACTGAGCCTGTGTCTTGTTCATGCAGGTGCAAAACAGCCAGTACTCTTGAGAAGTGCACACTGCACCATCGTGCTCACAGGCTGTCATTTCGATCTTCTGCCCTTGGGGAATTGCATAAACCTTGGATTTCAAATCACTTGTTTAAATGAATTCCAAAATCCTTCCTAATTTGAAAATCTAGGGAAGTAGACCTTATCATTAAATTGACACTGACTTTTGTTGTACCTGAAATTTGAATTATTGCTAGATCAATTTTTACTTTGATAAAAAATATGATGATATTTACTTTTCCAAGTTTTCTTTTTCTTTTTTCTATAAAGCTGTTGAGAAAATCATTGCATATATGCTCTAGTTAGGGGAAACCTTTCTATTTTATTGACTCTTACAAGTGTCAAGATGAGAGCAATAGTTTCATCTTATGGCATGATAGCAGTAGTTTCATTAGGTTTTTATAAAAAGAAGTATAGTGATTCAATTTATCAAAACCTAACATGGAAAACTAAAAATATGTTGTTGAAATGATTACCAGGAAGGATTTTTGGCTTCATCTCTCAGAGGTAAAGAGCTTAAAAGTCTTCACTTCATTATTAAAACAAGAAAAACCCAGAAAAACTAAAAATCAATGATTTTTTTCAGATCCACCAAAGAATTGAAATTGTAGTCCAAACCAGCACTCCAAAATCTGGAAAGACAGGTGCATCCAGAGGGGCACTGCTGAGATTGACTAACCAGGAACAAATTTTGCTTGAGCCACAAACTCATAAAAACATGAAAATAGTAATTTTGACCGATTGCTGGAAGCTGAGTACGGACTAGTGTGAGTGTGAGGACCTCCTGTAGGCCCCAGTCTTAAGGGTCTTTCACCTTTTCATAGGCTTTGCCTCAAAGAACCTTACTAGGTTCTCATGATGAAGAGCTATTTATCTCAATCTCATCAAGGAAGAATATCCTTAGTTAAACCTGGATTTCATATGCATGCTTATGTTTGCAATTAATTTCTTTATACTGAAATTTTGAAGAAACAATTGCAAATATACCAATGACTTCCTTCACTCTTCGGTTAATTGCACAATTTTGGCATAAAGTTTTAGGCATAAACGTTTTGAACAGTATCCTTACCTTTCTACCTACCTAATTAGTAAAACATATCAAAATATATCTTTAAATGAATTGATTTCAAACAAGTAGAACAGAAGAGGCAAAATTGCAAGTTTAGATATAAAGATTTTCTTGTTATTTACCTAGTGTTTTCATTCCCAGATGTCAAGCAAAGAAGTGGAGTTATAAATTTCTCGACTAGATAAACCTACAACAGCTTAGAATACATTTGTTTTAAAATGTGATTAAATTATTATAATAAAGTTCTCATAACTCTAGGACAAAACTACTATCTTTGTACAAGGTATACATTTTTTCCTTATGAGAAGAAATGGTAAGATTCCTGAAACACTTTAATTATATAAGGATAACTTTTTTGGGAGGCCGAGGTGGGTGGATCACCTGAAGTCAGGAGTTTGAGACCTGGCCAATGTGGTGAAACCCTGTCTCTACTAAAAATACAAAAATTAGCCGGGCGTGGTGGTGGGCGCCTGTAATCCCAGCTACTTGGGAGGCTGAGGCAGGAGAATCGCTTGAACCTGGGAGGTGGAGGTTGCAGTGAACTGAGATCATGCCACTCCACTCCAGCCTGGGCAACAAGAGCAAATCTCCGTCTCAAAAAAAAAAAAAAAAAAAAAAAAAAAAAAAAAAAAAAAAAAGGCAAAAAAGGCTATTTTTGTAGTTTCACAGGGTTTTTGTTTAAAAAATCTTAATCAGTCAAATCTTCTGAGCTATTGGATTTAAATAAAAACTAAACAGAATATATGTTTTATTGTCAACCCAGTAATAGCACAGTGCATGATGTCTTGTGGTTCTAAGCTTATCTGATGCTGTTATAATTTTAGATCACTCAGTATAGTCTCAACTAAACAAAAATGGAAATGGGTTATTTAGGTCATTTGGTAGTGTCATAAAATAAAGTTTTATCCACTATCTTTGATTAACTTCATGGAAAGTTTTCAGGAAGAGGTCTTAAAAAGCCTCTTTTAGAGCTGTGGCTTACCTTTCTAAGTAAGGAAAGCAAACCATTTCCGTTAGGGCCATCGATCAATGAATAAGCAGCTTGGTTCCAATTGGAAAGCTGCAGCTGCATTGTCAGATAGGAGCAGTTATTAACCCGTCCCTCAGCAGAATGTGTTATTTCCATTACTTTCATCTCTCCTGATGAGCAGATAAATTGATAGAAAAAAATGAGTTGAACAAAATAGAGCTGAAGGTGATGTATTTGCAGGGCCCCAAGGTGTAAATGAAATTCCTAACAGCTTCCATTGTACCTGAACATAGTAGAGCAAAACTAAGTCAAAGGAACAAAAACTGCTTAAGTGTGACAATATGGCACCATTCATGTTCATTCTGGATTACAAAAGCTAAGCACAAAGGAAAAGGGGCTATAGACCCTGCCCTCAAGGAGTTTACAGCTGTGAAAACAGAAGGAAAGGAAAATAAAATGTAAGAGTGTCATATGTTTAGTGACAACAGTCAACCCATAGTGTCTGAAAGTACACTAGCAAGGAACTTTGTCCATAATATTAGGGCCAGGAAGACTTCTTGTATTGAGTCTTTAAGGATGCATCAGTGTTAGACAAATGAATGAAAAGGAAAAGGGGGAAAGAGCATTTTATGTAGAGAGAAGAGAAGGGCAAAAGAAAGAATGAGAAACTGAGGCAGGAATAAAAACTATAAGTAGGTGGTTTAACATGGCTGATGTGTAGGGTTTGGGTGTTCTGAAGTAAGAAATCAGGTGGATACGTAGAGAAGATAAATATTGCCTTTTTAGAGAAGGTGAGAGGAAGGACTATTGCTAAAGGAGATTCAGAATAAAGACATTTTATCAGGACCAACTAACCTGCATACAGGCTGAGGGGGAGCAGCTCAATAGGAGAAGCTGAAAGACACAAAGGTATGAAAAGTTCATTCTCAAAATGACTCGAGTCCTGTCTTTCAAGTGTCTAGGTGAAGAGTGCAAAGCAATATTGAGTCTGCAGCTGTTGGGGAAGGAGATTGGCAAAGTTCTTGACAGATGGTCTTTTTTACCAGAGGAATGTGGTTCTCAACTGGGGGTAACTTTTCCCTCACTAGTAGATGTCAATATTGAACAATGTTTGGAGACACTCTTGGTTGTAATAACTGGTGGAGACATTGCTACTGGCCTCTAAGGCATGGAGGCCAGGAATGCTGCTAAACATTCTGCAAAAACACAGCAGAACACCCTTCAGGGCTGATCTGTGGGTGGTCTTGGACCAGCCCGGTTTTCTCTCCTTTATAGTTTTCAAGAATAACTGTAGAATGTGCTGGGAATGCCATATCTTGAGATAAAGGGGAGGTGGCTGAAGCAGGCCTAAATCTGTTTTAGCCCTGACACCTCCCCAAGAAGGATGTCTTTGAAAATTTTAGCCCAGCATGCATGTGACCCCCAGGGTATAAAACCAGGGCAAACTGCTTTCCAGGGGCCCTCAGCTGTGGTGCAAGTGGGACAGACATAGTTCAGACTCCATCTGCCCCAGGTAGCTTTCCTGAGTAATAAATCCTAGGCTTCTGTTGTCCCTTGTTGCCTATCTGTAAATAATGAACCCACTTCATGTAACTTGCTGTGTGTGTAGATGTCTGACCAGACTCAAACAAGTTGGTAACTAGTGCACAGTGAACCTACTTTGCACCTCCCACATAAAAAGAATTATTCAGCCCAATATATCGATGGTACCTAGGTTGAGAATGCTGCTTTATGAAGTAGTAGATGATGTTATTTGCAGAATTAGGGATTTGAAGATTAGTTGGCAACTTTAAGAGAATAGACTGAGTTTGGAATAGCTCTTTACCAGAATGGTAGAAATGCTCAGGATGACTGAGATATGGACAAGGGTTGGCCAAAAATCTGTATGGCTACAAAATTTCATGTGTCCAAGTAGTAAGGTAATGGACAAAATTTAACTGAATTACAAAATAATAAGAAGAAAGACAAGTATTGTGCTCTGGGTAGAGAGGGTGGACACCAATTTCACTATGTAGGAGGAAGGTTTGGGGCTCATAGTGGGCAAGACGAGGCTGGGACCATGTCACTGTGTTGCCTGTCTCTATTTGTCACTCTGAACTCAACTCACTGGCAATCTGCCTTCTCCTGGGTCCTCTTTACTGAAACTGCTTTCACCCAGGATGCCAATAACTTTGTTATCCTTTAATTCAAGAGACATGCTTCCCTGCTTACTTTCCTTGGCATTTGAACATCTGTCTTTGTTGACCACTTGATTCTTCCTGAAACAAACTTCACTCTTGGTTCTCGTGATGTTGAAACTTCATATTTTTTTAGCCACTGCGTAATTAGTCTTCTTTCTGGCTTTTATTTCTGTATCAGATTCTTAATTTTTCACTTTAAAAAAGTCTCTGTCTTTGGCCCTCTTCTCATCTCACTGCCATCTCCATCTGAATGTTTCATAAGCAACTTAAATTCCATGTATGCAAAATTGAACTCCTTTTCTTTCCCTGACAAACTCCTTCTTTTTGTATTTTTTAGCACTGAGTGATATCAACATAAATAGAGATAGCTATATTGGTTAAGATGATGAATGTGACAGAAAACCCAAATTGATGTTGGCTTAACCATCCTAAATTTTATTCTGTTATGTAAAAAAGGCCAGAAGTCAGCAGTTCTGGGCTTGTATGACAGTTCCATGCATTTTTAGAAATCATTTTCTTCTAGATTATTCCTCTGCCACCCCTACATTTCTCTCCAGTTTAGCATTGTCACAGATAGCTGGTGGAGCTTCAGCTAACATCATCATGATGATGACACCAGATAGAAGAAAAAAAACCACTATGATTCCATTTAAGAACATTTCCATGAAGTTGTGCATGCTACCACCGCTTAGAGCTTTGAACTCAGTCCCAAGTCCAAAGCAAGCTTCAAAGGAAGCTGGTTAATGTAGCTGTTATTTCAGGCAGCCCTGAACCCAACTGAACAGATGTTTGTAGTGCCATAGAAGGGATTAACAGCCCTTGCTATGCAGTCCAACGTCTAGAAATCTAGGCTCAAATCTATTTTTCTTCTCCCACTCTCACTTCTCATGTTCATTCAGTCTCACATCTATTGATTCCAGCTTTCGAATTTTCAAATATTTATTATTGCTTTCATCCATGCTGCTGGATGAAACTGAGTTTGGAATAGCTCTTTACCAGAATGGTAGAAATGCTCAGGATGACTGAGATACGGACAAGGGTTGGCCAAAAATCCGTATGGCTACAAAATTTAGTGTGTCCAAGTAGTAAGGTAATGGACAAAATTCAACTGAATTACAAAATAATAAGCAGAAAGACAAGTATTGTGCTATGGGTATAGAGGGTGGACACCAATTTCACTATGTAGGAGGAAGGTTTGGGGCTCACAGTGGGCAAGACGAGGCTGGGACCATGTCACTGTGTTTCCTTATCTACAGACTTGGATTAATCTCAATCAGTTTCCTTATCTATAGACTTAGATTGAGAAATATATTTACAACATTGAAGACATTATTAAAACAAATAACTACCGAAATTTATTGTTACTCTGCACTAACAAGTTATCATTAACTGCAGGATAATGTCTAAATTTATTAATGCCATTTATGTCTTCTGTGATTTCTCTGCTCCTTAAAATACAGAAATTTGTTTCCAAAATGCTATCCCATGACTTGTTAAAAGCTTAGTATCTTCTTAAAATGTCAGTGTATTTCCAGAAAATTTAGTTTCTCATGATCAACTCTGGCTGTAAGCATCTGCTTTGTGGAAGTGGTTTATTTTAAAGATGGATGATGTTCCTGTTTTATGCTAGGTCTAGAACTAGGCATAGGACTCAGCTACTTTGCTTGAATGACAGGTTAAAAGTAACTGCTAAGTATTGATCATGTGGTCAATAGATTGGATATTTGATGATACCAAAGAGATTGGCACTTAGCCCTGTGGCAATATAAACAGGTTTAAAATTGAAGATGAAGTATTATTTGTTATTCAACAGTTCCTTGTTTTTTATTAGCCTAAAGAAATTTCCTCGTTTTTACTAGCTTAAATCCAAGCTATAAATACAAAAAGAAAGAAAACTTGAAAATAAACCTTACGATTTCATTACATTTAGATCCCCATAATAATAACTACATTTGTTGATAGCTTTCCATGTGCCAAGCACTGAGTTTGGTATTTTACATACATCTAATTTAAGTGGACTCCTTCTTTCTTTCTCTAGGTTTGATTTTAGATGAGGCATTCTTAACTCTAAAACTCATTTTAGCTCCTTCACCACATTGCTGAGTCATTCTTCTCCCTCTGCATAGGTCGATTCCCTTTCTTTCTTTATTCCATTAGTCCTGTTATATTCCCAATGCAGTTGAGTTTAATCTCTTTTGTTGCTTGCTAACTCCTTTTCTCAGAGCTCACCTTTTATTTCAATAAGTTATTGTCCCAAACTGTATTAGTCTGTTTTCACAGTGCTATAAAGCACTGCCCAAGATTGGGTAATTTATAAAGGAAGGAGATTTAATTGACTCACAGTTCAGCATGGCTGGAGAGGCCTCAGGTAACTTACAATCATGGTGGAAGGTAAAGGGGAAGCAAGGCGCCTTCTTCACAAGGTGGCAGGAAGGAGAACGAATGCAGGCGGAACTACCAAACACTTACAAAACCATCAGATCTCATGAGTACTCACTCACTATCACGTAAACAGCATGGAGGAAACCGCCCCCATGTTTTAATTAACTCCACTCGGTCTCTCCCTTGACATGTGGGGATTATAGGAATTACAATTCAAGAAGAGATTTTGGATAGGGACACAATCAAACCATATCACGCACCAAGACAGTTTCTGCCTTAAGTGGAATGCTTACATTAAGATAATAGCATTATTTTATCCTATTTCTTATGCTTTATAATTTTCCTAGTGATTTATCTCTCTTTTCCTTCTGTATCCTTTTCTCTTGCCACTCTGATATCCTCTCTCTCTCTCCCTTTCTCTCTATTTCTCTCCACATGCTCTGGACATTGACTCCTAATGTCCTTGACTATAGCTATCCTCCTCTCCCTACCTAGCTTGTAAGTTACTCAACCTGGTATTGCAGCTCATGCATTTTTTTTTACCCTTGGAGGCTTTACCTGAGTCTCGCTGAGTCTCAAAACAGTGGGGTATGTGCTTCTGCCATGAATTCTGTACTTCTCTTTTTGTATTTTTAATTTCCTTTTTTTCCCCATGTCTTTCTGTTTTAAAACATTCTCTTCTATTTTTCCAAAAACATCTTGAACTTCTCCCTCCCTACCATCCCAAATGTATCTATCCTACACAACCAAACATCTAGATAAATTCTCCTATACCCACTTCATCCACTTCTTCACCTCCCACTTACTTGCCTGTCTACTCCTGTCTGCCTTTGTTCCATTTGACTTCAATACATTTGCTTTTCCCTATGGTGACTGCTGACCTTTGTGTCACTAAATGCAATGTACAATTTTCAGCTCTTTTATTGCTTGATTCTTTAATAAGGGTTGACTCTTAATTCCTCGTCTTTTGTTTTTAAATTTGGGGAACACTTTAAACTTTTTTATTTCTTGGTGAGAGGGCAATGGATGGATGAAAAGGAATATGTAGAGCAATAAAAGTCTACCTCTGACTCCTGATCTCTATTTCCTTGGATCTGCTTTTAAGAAGAAAACACTTTAAGCAGTCTCTCATCAATCTTCACAGATGGAAAAAAAATTACATATATATATATATATATATATATATATATATATATATATATATATATTCATATCCACTCAACATCTCCATTCATTTTTACACAAAGCCCCAATATCTTGTTCTATAACAAGTAACTTGTTCTCTAATTGTATATGCATAAATACTTTGCAAATTGTTTACTGTTAGAGATGAATCATTTTAATGGCAGCAAAACAGTCCATTGTATTCTGACACCACTATTTAACTGATCTACTGAGTGCTTTTCTCACATTGTAATTATTATTAGTCTCAAGAAGTAGCCCTGGATATTCTTAAGATATAATAGAAAATTGCTGTTAGACATCAGTTTTTGAGTGCAGATAGAACTACTGTATGATTCTGCTGGGCATTTCCCTGGGGAGTTTTTTCAGGATCATTGCTTGGTCTATAAATATAAAATAAGAAAGACCAGGACGCATTCAATTTTTAGCTCTGAAACAGTATGGGGCAGCTTTCCTCCTGGCAGCATTTGACTTTTAGAGATGACTTTGGCCAGCATTTTCTCAAATGCACCCTTCTGAATGTATGAGTTGTTGTGACTGTTGAGCTCTCTCAATTCATGGGCTTCCATTATTGTAATAAATAGAAGCCCATGTGTTTTAATTCTGAGAAATGTTCTTGAAACTTTTTTGACTGTTTCTTCCCCTCCATTTTTTAATTACATTTTTTGTTCTTGGATATGGTCATCTTGGAATCATCTTATTTTCTTATCTTTTCTCTATTAATTTGTATTTATTTGTCTATTCTCTGATTTCTGAGACATTTTTTGAAATTTACCTTCCATATCAGTTTCCTATTGCCATTGTAACAAATTACCACTCACTTA
Organism: Homo sapiens; assembly: GCF_000001405.40. Classification (NCBI taxonomy): domain Eukaryota; kingdom Metazoa; phylum Chordata; class Mammalia; order Primates; family Hominidae; genus Homo; species Homo sapiens. The sequence continues at coordinate 17,966,549 of NC_000005.10, forward strand.
TACCTGAAAACAATAGAAATATATTACCTTACATTTCTGGAGGCTGGATGTCTGAAATGGGTCTCACTGAGCTAAATCAAGTTGTCAGTGTAACAGGATCCTCAGGGTGTTACTTGGCTAGCCAGAAACCTCTGTGGCCAGTGGCACCTCTGCTTGAGTTTTGCTTACATCTGCTGGATTTGTTCTGCCAACTCATCCCAACAGACTGTGCTCGGCTTGCACTACCAGCCCAGATCCTATGCCTGCAAAGGGCGAGTCAGGCCTGGAGCCCTGAGGGATGTGTGAGTGAGCAAACGCAGGGTCCAGCCAGGCATGCTGGCTGCTGCAGCAGAGTGGGTAGCTCCAGGTGCTGGCAAAGGCACCGGCTCTGCGAGGCTGCAGCTGGAACAGACATAGTCAAGTGGCTCCTGCTGCAGGCACTAGTGTCTGGATGAGGGGAATGCAGTGGTGCCTGAAAGCTTGGAGATGCAAGGAACCACAGAGCCCCAAAGAGGGTGTTACAGCATGTCAGAGCCCTGGCTTGGGGAGCCCTGAGGTCTGGGATCCCAGAAGGGTGGTAGCTCTTCTCTCCTTCTCATTGCCCACAGCTCAGTGAGTGGGGAGGCATGTTTGGGCAGGGGAGTGTGTTTCAGCTCATTTGTGTTACAGCTCTTTCAGTCCTGCCACCCTGCTCCAACCCATGGCTCCTGGGCTGGCCTGGGCCTGCCACTGTTTCTCATTGCATGGGGCAGCTACCTGGCACCTGCACTGGGTAGGAGGGCTATAGTGTTACAGACCCTTTAGCTATCCCCTGCAGCTCTAAGAGCCAGTCAGGGAAGAATTACAGCTCCTTTTGCTCTCACTGTTAGGTGGGTCCTGAGTTTTCACTCTGCGTTTAGGAAGAATAAGGTTACACAGAAAACTGGAGGGTAAGCAAGGTGGAGAAGAGATTTACTGGGCAACCAAACAGCTCTCAGTGAAAAGGAGATGTAAAGTGGACAGCTCCTATCCACAGGCAGGTAGTTCCAATGAGTGGCTGAGTCTGGCTGAGTCTCAGGTTTTTATGAACTCAAAAAGGAGGAAGCACATGCTGATTGGTCCATGGGTGGGAGGAAGTGTGTGCTGACTGATCTATGGGTGGCCATAAGTGGGCCTGGACAAACCACCATTGTATTAGGGTTCCCTAGAAGGACAGAAATAATAGGATATATAGATATATCTCTGAAGATATATAGATATATATATCTTCAGAGATATATAGATATGGATATATAGATATATAAAGGGGAATTTATTAAGTATTAACTCACATGATCACTAGGTTCCACAGTAGGCTGTCTGCAGTCTGAGGATCAAGGAAAGCCAGTTCAGGTCCCAAACTGAAGAACTTGGAATCCAATGTTTGAAGGCAGTAAGCATCCAGCCCAGGAGAAAGATGTAGGCTGGGAGGCTAGGCCAGTCTAGTCTTTTCACGTTTTTCTGCCTGCTTTATATTCTAGCCGTGCTGGCAGATGATTAGATGGTGCCCACCCAGATTAAGGGTGTGTCTACCTTTCCCAGCCCACTGACTCAAATATTAAACTTCTTTGGCAACACCCTCACAGACACGCCCAGGATCAATACTTTGCATCCTTCAATCCAGTCAAGTTGACACTCAGTATTAACCATCACAACCATCCAATTGTCTGAGAGGCATCAAGGAAGTTCTCACTCTGGGTTGCAAACTCCACCCAGAAATGGCAACCAACCCCCTAGGTTTCAGGCCACTCCTGGCTTGAAGGTCAGACCTCATCATGGATCTGCCCTTCCCCTCCTAGGAACCTGTTTCCCTCCCACCACCATCATCAGTAGGGCTGCATCCCTTTTTGGAGGCCCTACGGCAGGCTCCAAAGGAGAATTCATCTTTTTGCTTTTTACAGTTTCTAGAGGCTTCCTGCTTGTATTCTTGGTTTATACCTCCCTTCCATCTTTAAAGCTAGCAATGACCCATTGACTCATTTTCACATTGGCCACTGGAACTCCCTCTTCCACATTTAAGAACCTTGTCATTACATTGGGCACACCTGGATAATCCAGGCTGCTCTACCTATTTTAAGGTCAATTTATTAGCAATTTTAATTCTCTCTGTAACTTTAATTCCTCTTTGCCATGTAACCTAATAAACTCTTAGGTTCCAGAGATTAGAACTTGGACATATTTAGGGGCCTTTATATTTCCCATTACACCTCCCAAACCTGCAGGGTTTTTTTTTTTTCTTCTTTTTTTTTTTCCCGCTGCTGTGATCATCTGTTGTCTGAATGTTCCTTTTCATGGAATGCTTTTCTTTTTAAAATGGTTTCAGTATCTTGTCTCTCTAAGAGTATTCATGATCCTTTATTGTTGTTGTAGTTTTTAAGTTTTCTCTTCCCTACACAGTCTCTGTGTTCTCTTTGTCCCTTACCCTCCTCATTAGTCTTCTTCTCTACCTTTCATGTGAAAAGCCTCTTCGTAGGTCATTTGTCAGGTTTGGGCATTATCATTTATTAAATAGCTTTCCTGAGATAGTTGGCAATCCTTCATTTTATAATTCTTTTCAAAAGTGAGAGACTACAAAGATATTAGAAAACACTGCTGTTCCCTCTAATTTTTCTTCTTCTTTTTTTTTCTATTCTCCTATCCTACTCCTCCTCATCCTTTACCTCTCAGCTGAAATGACACTATTCAAGGGCCAACATTTTAAATCTCCTAGATTGGGTAAAAATATATTTGGTAAAGGATCCAGTAACATCCTGTATTTTCTTTTCTGAATCATCACACTTTTAATGATGTCCAATACACATACCTTATTTGAATCCACTGGGACCAGAAAAAAGGAAACAAATGGGTCAGTGTTTTAGTCCATTTTCACACTGCTATAAAGAAATGCCTGAGACTGGGTAATTTATAAAGGAAAGACGTTTAATTGACTCACAGTCCTGCATGCCTGGGGACGTCTCAGGAAACTTATAATCATTACAGAAGGGTAAGCAAACACGTCCTTCTTCACAAGGAGGCAGGAGAGAAGGAGTGCATGAGAACACAGGAAAAAAAAAACTACCATTTATAAAATCATCAGATGTCATGAGAATTCACCCACTATGACAAGAACAGCATGGGGGAAACTGCCCCCATAATCCAACCACTTCCCACCAGTCTCCCTCAACATCTAGTGATTACAATTCAAGATGACATTTGAGTGAGGATACAAAGCCTAACCATATTAGTCAGCATTGAGGGGACTATCATTGGGAAGTAGTGGCCCTACTTACCTTTCTGCCACTGAAGCCAACAACACAGCAGATCTTCCTTAGGAGAGCATTGGAGGGAATGGCATTCTGTTTCCTCAAGGCTAGGCTAAGTTTGGTCAAGAATACAGGAGAAAGAAAAAGGTGAGTTTATCTACAATGTGATTTAAAAGTGTAAAATGAAAAAGAGGAGTAAAAGACCAGGTAGATAAGATGAAATGGTATTCTGCTGGAGCTAGGGAAGGCTTATACTGGGAATGATAACATTTCACTCTCTGGCTCCTTTAATATGAAGTTTTCTTTCATTTCAGATATTACCCAAAGTAGGCAGATAAAACCTCGTTTTGATCAGTCATGACTAGTCTACCACATTGTGCTCTGTGTTTATCCCTTTGACTCGAATTCCCTAAGTTTAGTTTATTTCTCTCAGGTTCCAATTTGCAATTGCCCCCGTTAGCAAACCATCCAGATTTCTTTCTCAGACATTCTGACTTCAGTTCCCTGCTCATCTCTACAATTTGTGCTCTGCCAGTTTGACACTGTGTTCAAGCTCCAGTAAGAAACTTGCCCTCCCTATTCCAAGCCAGTTGGAATTTCTGATTGTCTCTCTAACAGGCTTTATATTTATCCCTTTTCTTTTCCAGTCATGCATATAAGGGGAGCAGTATTTAGGAAATTGAATGCACTACATGTTACTAGTAGGAGCAAAAGTAAGCACTGGGTTAGCAAGACTTGATCCGAAATGCTGGAAGAATTATGAATGTGAAGATCCATGAGGACACTGGGGCATTTTGCTTCTTCACACTTATCATTCTTAAACATATGACTTTCTACTTACTGGCATAAAAAATGTTCTGTAGCCAATTTCTCTGATATCTGGGGCATCAGTGGCTGTTTGTTATTCTTTTCTGTCGAGACTTTGAATCCTATTTAAGAGGCATTTGGTATCTGTATGGCCCCAATATTCTGGCTCATAGTCATTGCCCAAAACTTCTTGGTTATTAATATAGATAATGGATATATTTCTTGTAGAACTGTTACACAAGAATCCCCAAATATAGTTTAAAGGAACAGATAAAATTAACATACATTATTTAAATGATTTTAGTACCTAGTATATGTTTGACAAAAGTACTATTTATTCAATGATTTTTCCCTCTACCCCATGAAGATTCTATAAAGAATCTATAAAAGATTTAATATAGTTAACAACTATGATTTTAATGACTTTAATTAAAATAACAAATTGCTTTAGATTCTTCAGTGGCTATCGGATTTCTTGGCTATATGGAGTAACAGATTCATTCCCATGTTTTAAAAATAGCTTTAAAAAACATTAAAACAGGATGAAGAACATTTAGAATGGTCTTGTCATTTATTTCTTTCTTTTCTAAAAGCGATTTGGCATCTTTTTCTCATAAAAGATGGAAATATATAATGAGAAAAGAATAAGCGACAATATGGATAAACAGATAAAAAGCAAACTTTATTAATGCAATGCTTGATTGCATGGAAACAATATATTATAGTTATTCAAATAATAAGATTTTTCCACCAATTCATTTTCCATTATTATCTCTTTTGTATAGTCAATCCCTTTCCAGTTCTTTATTGCATTCATAAGGGTTTGGTATCAACACCAGTGAATACTCCCATCTCAACTGTGGAAAATTAGGTTAAGCTTCAGCCAGGCTAACAGAGAACTGGTACATATCGGCGGCTTATCAACAAAGGTTTCTCCCTTATGCTGTGGGTCCAAGATGGGCTTACTGAGGCTCACTCCATGTTTTTTGAAGGACATGGCCAGACATTGTGGCAGAGGGGCAGAGCCCCTGAGAACCTTGGACTGCTCCTCTGATTTAAAAATGATACACATGCCATTTCCATACACATTTCGTTGGTCATAAAAGGTCACGTAGTCATGCCTGAGTTCAACAGGCTGGAAATGTACAGTTTTTCCAAAGGGAGGGTGACTAAAAGATCCATTGGATATAAAGGTGACTAAAAATACAACATACCTCATTTTCTTCTTCTCTGTGAAGAAGATTTAGTACTTTGAGTTTAAGTAAACTGTTCAATATCACACAACAGGTAAGTTATCAGACAAAGGTACACATTTAAACAGTTTAATTTCCAAAGCATGATATTACAGTTTTACTGTGTGCCTCTTTCCTGAACATGGTTAAATGGGTTGAGATTCTCCTGGCACCAAGAAAGTGTGAAAAATTAGATTTCTTGAAAAAATTATAGGGAATCCATGTTTATCAGAACTGTCATACATTAATAATGGAATTCAAAATTTCCTGTTTTTTCTTTTGTCCTTCCTTTGGTCGTATCACAGTCATAACCTTGATCTTTACACTCAATTTTTATCTGCCTCTTCATGCATACAAAATCTATGTAGTTACTTGATGTTACTGCTGATGAGAAAGAGAATGCCAATGTTTAATCAAACAGAGGACAGCATGAGGTCATGGGAAAACAACATATACATATAATGTCTTCTAACTTTTAAAGTAGATGACAATTTGGTTTCAATCATTGTGGTTTTAGTTTCTAATATCATTTTACATTGTTATGCTTTCTAACTAAAGAGTTCAAGTGAATTGTGGTATAACTCATTTCTCTTTCATTGCTATGGACTATTGCAATATCATTCAATTACACAGTCTCATAAAATGCTTGGGGCCAAATCTTTTATGGATATTTGACACTCAGAATTACATTTAAGACATTTATATGTATCTCTAGAGAAACTATAGTATTTAGATATTATATGGATTATGCCTTTTCATGAAATAAATACATGGATTTTGATGATTCTTGCCTCTCTGTAGCTGTGCCATTTTAAAAATAGTGTTTTAAATAGCTTAATTTAAATGTGTTTTAAATAGTTGATATTTATGTTTATATATATATTTTTAAATAATGTAGAAAACATAGCTTATAATCTTAGGCTTGATTGATATTTTCCTTGTAGAATGCTCTAGGTGCATGACAATTCCTGTGTAACATCATAAAACACATCCTTGTTAGTGCCTGGGGATTTACTGTTAATCATTTCATTTCTGATTTGTTTTAACTGTATGTGGTATTGAGGTTGGGGGAAGAAAAATGAAGAAAAAGATTTTGAGGACAAAAAACAGGAGGTAAATGAAGATTTATTAAGAATACTATTCCAAGGATGTTAAAGTAAGTAAAATGCTATAAATATTCATAGCATTTGACATTCTTCAAACTAAATATTTTATTAGAATAATAGCATTTCTAGTATTAATTATTTCCTATTTGAATATAATGATTCCTAGGCTGGGACATGTGCTATTACTACCCAAAATGGTACTTGGCTCCAAGGATATATCATACATTATATATTGAATAAATAAATAAATATTGCATAAGAAAACAAAATGCTTACAATTTTATAACTGGAAATTAACTTATTGTGGAGTTCTTTATTTGCAGTTAAGTATAAATATAATTTAGAGATTATTTTATTAAGGATAAAATAACATAATAATTTAAGATAAAAATAACACTGATGAAGTGATTATATTTTAAAATTAATTTTAGGAGGAACAGTTGAGGAATCTGCAAATTACTTTGAGCTACTTTTTCTTTTTATACTTGACTTACCTGGTAGTGGAGTGCAGGTTTTACAACTGGCTGTTGCATAATAAATATTCACTATTTCAGGTTTCAGTTTAACAACACTCTAAGACTCTATTAAAGTTTCCAGGCACAGAAGTCAGATTTCTAAAGTCCACAACAACGTCTAGTTGGAGAAAAGATTTGGCTTTCTTAAATATTTTCTTCTAAATGTAAGATAATCTCACTTCTCAGTCAAGTCTGATGCAAATTATTTTTATTGGAAACAAAATTATCCAAGAACAAATTAAATTTGTGCATTCCAAGTTATTTTCTGATGTATTTACCAGATTGGTTCAAAGTATATAGTCCATTTTGCTAAATAAGCAGGCATCCTTATAATGAAAATTCAATATAGACAGTAAATGTTAAAGAAGATGTTTAATTATTGTTTTAGCTTATAATTCTTCATAATAGTTAGAAATATGAAAATCCTTGTAGCTCTAATGTTCCCTATAGTTTGTTTCCAAGTATATAAATAAGAAGCTAGACTTATTAACTATGTATTTTAAAATAATGATATGTATTTGAATAAAAATCAATATAAACTTCTTAGAAGTTCATAATCTGAACTCCAAAAAGTCTTTGGGGTTCAAAACACCAGTATTATAAAAATAATTCCTTTTATTGCAAATTGCAATTTTGATAAAATTTTATATATTTTTTTCTCATATGATCTTCTTAACAATTACATGTTGCAGGCGGATTATTTGTTAACTTAATAGACTATAACTTAGAGAGTTTCAATGATTAGTGATGTTTACAAAGTTAGTGAAGACAGAATTAAGACTTCCGACTTCAATTCTATCTCTCTTCAGCATGGCAAATGTTATATGTTTAACATGTTTTTTATTTGTAATTTCACAATACTTACATATAATTCCATGTTGAGTTTTGTTATCTTGAGTAAATTCTTATTAACTTGTGGAATTTCTCTCGCAATATTATATTTCAGGATTAAAAAAAATCTTTAGCCTGGGCACGGTGGCTCACGCCTGTAATGCCAGCACTTTGGGAGGCCGAGGTGGGCAGATCACGAGGTTAGGAGATTGAGACCATCCTGGGTAACACGGTGAAACCCTGTCTCTACTAAAAATACAAAAAATTAGCCGGGTGTGGTGGCGGGCGCCTGTAGTCCCAGCTACTCAGGAGGCTGAGGCAGGAGAATGCCATGAACCCGGGAGGCAGAGCTTGCAGTAAGCCGAGATCGTGCCACTGCACTCCAGCCTGGGCGACAGAGTGAGACTCCGTCTCAAAAAAAAAAAAAAATCTTTAAAGCAGAATCCCAGTTTCTCAAATTGTGGTTCATAGATCACCTGTTACAGAGTGAATTGTTTTGATGGATGGAACTGCAGGTTCCTTTGCTCTACATACTGATAAGAATCTCTGAGGAAGGGTCAAGGGTTTGCATTGTAACAAGCTTTCTGGGTAACATAGAACATATGTAACAATGAAGGAACAATCTTACCAGTGAAAGAAGATAATAAAACTGGTAGATAAATCGTGGTTAATCAGGAAAAGGCTTTTAATGCAAACTAAGGTTTAGGATTAGATGGTAATAAGTTATTATACATTGTCAACCAGGTTATGAAATAAATATTATTTTATAGAATAATTTACCTAATAATGTTACGAAAGGTAACAAAAAGTAGAAAGATGATTGAAAACAAGGTAAACTTTAGAAGGCTATTTCCCAAATTCAGTCATAAAATGTTGTAAGTAGAAGAGGATAAGATTAATTAAAAGGCAATATAAAAATAGAACATAAGAGGATCTTTGAGGGAAGGGAAAACATAATTTTGATATAACACATGAGGGGATAACTTTAGCTTTCTAAACTAGCAATCAAACACTTAGTGGTAGTAACACAGTGAAATAGGGAAGGTTCATAACTTGGGTTAGGAATAATTTGCCAACTGTAAGCATACTAAATTTCAGAATTCAGTCAAGATATTCTAGGTAGAAATATGGATTGTAGCCAACCTATGAGGTGGAGTTAGAAAAATGCTTTGAGAATTATTAGCATGAAAGTTAAATCTGAAAGAACAGAAGTATAAGAAGTATCTAAGAAAATGAACAAAAAGGAGATAAAACATTGATGACAGAGAAATCTCAGAGTCACATTAATAGTAAACACAGAGCATAGTTCTTGGCGCTTCATACATTGGAACTCATTTAATTGCACAAAAACCCTATGAGAAGGGTACTATTGTAATCCACTTTTTAGAGGTAAAGAAACTTAGCTCCAAAGAGGTCTAGAAATGGCTTCATTCTAGACATAGAAAGTAGCAGAAACAAAATAGTAACCCAGAATATTTGGCTTCAGAGGCAATGCTCTCTATAGTCTACTTGATTCTTATGCCTCAGTTATGAAAGCTAATGAGCACAGGGAGCCAAGGAAGAAGACTATTGAACTTACACACATCCCAATAAAGAATGAGGAGAACTAAGTTATGGGAAACTGTAGAATAAGTATAAGGAATCTCTGTACAATCTTTTTTTTCATTTATTACAACTACAATCTGTAGTTGTACCTGACTACAGATACAACATGAATAATAAAGGCAAAAATTCCTATCATGGGAGAAATTTGAAGGTCTGAGAAAAAGATCATATTTCTGAATTATTGACCTCCGTGCAAAAATAAAGGACAAAGATATAGAAAGGTATAGTCCTAATCATCACGTTGCCACATATACAAATTAGCTTATTGGAAAATAGTAATTAGGCAGAAAGACTTAAAACCATAAAGAGAAAAATGTTTCTCCAGTTCATTAACTCAGAAGTGATAAGTGAATTCTTTCCTAATCCAACTAACTTGGGAATGTGTCAAACATAAATAACAAAGAATATAAATGCAACTTATTTCCAGTAAATCGATATGATAGAATGGCTGGTCAAGGACACACACAATGATTGTACTGAAATTGTATCTAAATTCTATTGAAGAGACAACTGAAGTGAAGTTAAAAAAGACCAAAAAACAGTATGTAATATTTATATTCCTCTTATGTGTAAGCATTGCATATCCAAAAAGATGAAAAGGGAGCAAGTCAATCAAATACATTTCTATTCATAAGTGATATAGATTTTATGGGCCAGACAGGCCTGAACATTTTTATGCATGTTCATGGCTAATACCTGTTCCACATTTTTGCAAGCCCAGTAATCCTTGCGTCTTAGTTAGTTTAAGCTGTGTCTTAGTTCTTTTGGGTTGCCATAAAAAATACCTTAGATAGGGTACATTATAAGCAACAGAAATGTATTGCTCACAGTTCTGGAAGTTGAGGATTTCAAGGTCAAGGCACTAGCAGATTTGGTGTCTGGTAAAAGCTTACTCTGGGGGGAGGGTGACCAAAATTCAGACCATAGAAAGATGCTGTAACAAAATAGACCAGGTGGCTTAAACAACAGTTCTGGATGCTGGGAAGTTTGAGATCGGGGTGCCAGCATGGTCGAAGTCTGGTGAGGTCTTGCTGACTTGCGTATATAGCGCCTTTCTCACTGTGTCCTCAAGTGGTTTAAAGGAGAAGTTCTGGTGTCTCTTCCTCTTGTTCTAAGGACACTAATCACATCATGAGGGCCACACTTCCAAGACCTCATCTAAACCTAATTACCTGCCAAAGGCCCCACTTTCTAATATGATCATCTGGGGGTTAGGGCTTCAGCAATATGAATTTTGGGGGTACACATTTAGTTCATAACACCTTCTGTTGATGGGAATTGACTCATGCTGATTACTAAAAGTGTATAGTCCATTTTGCTATTACCTTCTTTAGGATGAAGATGGAATCCAGGTTAACTATTGTTAATAGCCTCTCAATTTTCCTCCTTACTCCACATTCGGCAAAAATTATTTTTTCTGAAATACGGGTCATTGATTCATTCAGTGTTCAACAAAAATACGTTGAGTTCCTACTGTATGCAAGGCATTCTGTTAGATGCTGTTTTAATTATCCTCCTTTTACATTTAAAAAAATGGTAGACTAATTCTTCAATGGTTTTTCATTTATGCTTATGCAATATCCAAATACAATTACTACGTTACCTACAAAATAAATCCTAACTCTTAAACCCCAGAGTGTTCTAAAGTATAGTCTTGACCTTTTTGCCTTTCACTTTCTTCCTGCTATTCTAGCTGGATAGGAGTAATTCTTCTTTCTTATACATGCTTTCTTGATTATTTATCTTTGTTCAATATTTCCTTTTAAGTCCATTTTCTAGCATTTTATTCCACGAACGTCCTATTCGTCATTTGAAGCATAACACACACATTATTTTCTACAACAAGACTTTTTCTCATTTTCTAAAACCTGTCCTCTTTCACCCCTTCATCCAAGTAATCTTTTCATAGTATGAATTCTGGTAAAATTCTAACTATAGTCTTCCTAAGACACTCAGTTTCTAACTAATGAGCACTTACTGTGTGGCAGTCACCGTCCTGTAACCTGGAATGTGGTCAGGAAGGAATAGACAACACAATTTAGTCTCTGAATTTAAATTAGGTCTAATGAGAAGATTGGCATATAAATAGAAGAGTAAAAAATCATTTGGTAGGTGCAGTATCATGCTAATGGTAAGAAAAGTGAAATCAATTTTGTCAACAACTATGGACTGAAATACAGAATGTAAAATGAAGAAAATGGGAGAGGCAGGACTTGAGAAGGGATAAGGGTCAGTGCCAAGTTACTGATGAGCTGCATGCACCATGAGATGGAGTTTGGGATGTTTTTCAAAGTGTCCTCTACATTTAGAGTTCTCCCTCAACAGTAGTACAATATATAACAATTTCTCCCTTAGTACCTTGAGGATAATAATCTTTTATGATGAAGCCTTCACATTTCAGGCTTAACTATCTCTCTCTTAATGTATCAAAACCCACTTAAAGCTATCATGTACTGTAAAGTGGCATAAAACTTAAAAGAATAAGAATTATGTGGATATAGATGAGAATTTTTCGAGGTTAAAGTTTATAGCAATAGTGAGATCAAATAAGATGAGATGAATAAGTGAAACTCAGATGACACAACTACTTCATCACACTCCAGGAAGTCTCTTGATATTGGCCGAAACTACGAGAAGCAATTTTGATTTTCAGGATCATTTCAAATTTTAAAATGTCAAAGGATTTTAATACTCTTTTCAAATTGGCAATTTTGTTCTATGCCAAATAAAACTTTATCCTATTACTTTTAAAGTATGACATCCAGGAAAAACTAAATGAATGATACTTTATAAAATCAATATAATTAGGTTATTTTCTCCATGATAAAAATATTTAAAGTAAGTCAAAGACTCGGTCATAAAATACTATGATTAAAATCATTTTGAGATCAAGCATAACAAATTGCAGAATTCTGCAGAAAGTGCAAGTCCAAATATTATATATAGAAATTAAAAATGTAACAGTGAGAAATTACTGATATACAGATAGACCTGCAAATTTGGAAAAAAAAAAAACCTACTAGTCTTAGATCCAGTCCTTCTTTACTTATGAGAAAAGTCATTTAACTTCTCTTGAATTGTATGTGTTCTTATATAATGAAAAAACTGGACCAGGTCAGTGGTTCTGATAAATTAACAAAATATACACATGTATATAGCTATTATTTTCATTTGAAAATTTGATATATATTAGAATTACACACATTTAAAGTTTCATTACAGAAGGTCCTCAATTTATGATACTTCAACTTAGGATTTTTATGATGATTCAACAATAATATGCTTTCAGTAGAAACTGTACTTCAAGTTTTGAATTTTGATCCTTTCCTGGGAGCAACATGTGACAGGATACACTCTCATAATGCTGGGCCACGGCGATAACCTGCAACTCCCAGAACAACTGATATTCTGCAGTGGGCTATGTGGCCAGTAGAGTTTGCCCAACTGTAGGTTAAATATAACTGTTCTGTATATGTTTAAGGCTTTTCTATTTGGTAGATTAAGGGTGTGAAATGCATTTCCAACGTGATATTTTCAACTTATGATGGGTTTATCAGGACATTACCCCATTACCCCATTGTAAATTGAGGAGCATCTGTAATTTCTTTTTCTTTTCTGTTTATTTTTTTTTAATTTTTTTTTATTTTTTATTTTTGAGACGGAGTCTCGCTCTGTCGCCAGGCTGGAGTGCTGTGGCGCGATCTCGGCTCACTGCGACCTCTGCCTCCTGGGTTCACGCCATTCTCCTGCCTCAGCCTCTAGAGTAGCTGGGACTACAGGCACCCGCCACCATGCCCGGCTAATTTTTGTATTTTTAGTAAAGACGGGGTTTCACCATGTTGGCTAGGATGGTCTCAATCTCCTGACCTTGTGATCCACCCGCCTCTGCCTCCCAAAGTGCTGGGATTGCAGGCATGAGCCACTGACCCTGACTACATCTGTGATTTCTAGACCCTGGTCTACCTGAGAAAATCTATAGTCTCGTCCATCCTCTTGTTTCAACCTCTATAGTTTTATAAATTAGAACACCACAATTTTGCAGTATTTTAGATTGTGTGAGGATTTCTTTAACATTACTTCACGAGATTTTTGGCAGGTGTGGTGGCTCACACCTGTAACGCTAGCACTTTGGGAGGCCGAGATGGGAGGATGGCTTGAGCCCAGAAGTTAGAGGCTGCAATGAGCTGTGATTGTGCCACTGCACTCCAGCCCAGCCTGGGTGATAGGAAAAAGACCCTATGTCTTAAAAAAAAAAGTTTTGAGTAAAAGAAAAAAAATTCTGTCTTCTCATTATTCAACTCACTTAAAATGGTGATTAAAAAAAATTAAGACCAAAATTCTAAATTCTCTATCAATTCAAGCTCTATAAAATATTGCTCAGTGATAAGAAATGCTCTCTATGATGTCTCAAACACAAAGAAATCCTCAAGATGTTATAACTTATCCTTCAGACAACAAAAATTTAAAGTAAAAATCTTTTAAGTCTTTTTGTATAGGAACCAGAAAGCATTTCTTAGCTACATACTATATTACTGTTGTATAAGTAGATACTTAACATATGAAACAATTTTTATAGAGGAATGAATATTTCAGCTTCTACTGTAGAAGGATACCCAGCCCTATGAAGATTAATATTGGCCAAAGCTTTTCTCATTGCACATAATGTCATTTGGAGCTCTAAAATAGCTGCCTTATCCCTAAAATATTATCATCAGTTCAAGGATATAGTCATTATTAAGCTAAATGTAAGGGAAATTAAATAATGTGGCTCTTACAGAACAAGTGAAAAACAACAATAATTTAAAGACATATAAAAAGTTATAGGAGAACTTTACATAGTTATTACCTTGTTTGCAAATGTGCAACTTACTACCAAAATAAAGGATCAATCCAGATTATCCTATGGCTATACTACAATGCAAAGAAGTAGAAGAGTCATATAAAGAATCACTTCATTCCATTTTTTCCTAACAGAGGTATATTTAAAAATCAATATAAATATATATTTAATTTTTTTTCAACAACATCAGAGTTGATTACTGAAGCTGAGAATGCTTGTCAGTATAAGTGATAATACGTGTTATGACATTAACCCAGGTAGATTGCATTCTGATGACCAAATTGATTTTAAAAATACATGTAAAGTAAACTTTTCATAGTATGAATTTTTGAAAGGAATACTTTTGAAAGCATACATAGTTTAAAAGACAACTGTATGTGCTGGTTCAAAGCAGCCTCTGGAGCAAGGATTTGACTCCTGGCTCTAACACTACTGCTGTGACACCTGCTAGCTGCCTCATCTTGGCGAGCCACTCAAATGTTAATGTCCTCATCTGAGAAGCATGATGATTATACACCTACTCCATAAGGTTATTGCAGCAGGTAGCTGAGATTCTATGTATGAAATACTTAGGACCTTGTCTGGCAGATGGTAGTTGCTATAAAATATTTGCTGTTATTATTATATATTTTATTATTGGGACCAGTGAATAGGTTTAAATTTAAAGTCACACTTACGTTTTAGGTAATGTTCCAGATCCTTTTAGCACCAAGGCACAAAATGTTGATTGATATAAATAAAGATGACACTTAAAGTAGTTTCTCATTTTGTTATTAGCAAATGCTAATTGTCTTTAGGTCGCAGACACCTTCAAGACTCAAATATCACCAGCAATACTGAAATTCTTTTACGTGAGAAAAATGTATTCATATATATAGCTTTGCAACCTATTTTAGGGGATTCAAGGAAAACATATTAGTAAACTCTTACATAATGAATAACTTTTGGGTATAGGTACTGAAAAGGATGTCATGACAAAGACACGAAAAACCATCACAAAAAAGCAAAACTTGACAAATGGGATCTAATTAAACTTAAGAGCTTCTGCACAGCAAAGGAAACTATCAACAGAGTAAACAGACAACCTACAAAATGGGAGAAAATATTTGCAAATGACACATCTGATAAAGGTCTAATATTCAGCATCTATAAGGAACATAAACAAATTTACAAGAGAAAAACCAACAACCCCATTAAAAAGTGGGCAAAGGACATGAATAGACACTCTTAAAAAGAAGACATACATGTGGCCAACAAACATATGAAACAAAGCTCAGTATCACTGATCATTAGAGAAATGCAAATCAAAACCACAACAAGATACCATCTCACACCAGTCACAATGGCTACTAAAAAGTCAAAAAATAACGGATGCTGAGGTTGCAGAGAAAAGAGAACTCTTATACCCTGTTGGTGGGAGTGTAAATTAGTTCAGCCATTGTGGAAAACAGTATGGTAATTCCTCAAAGAGCTAAAAGCAGAACTACCATTCCACCCAGCAATTCCATTACTAGGTACATACCCAGAGGAATGTAAGTCATTCTACCATAAAGACACATGTATGTGAAAGTTCACTGCAGCACTATTCATGATAGCAAAGACATGGAATCAACCTAAATGCCCATAAAATAAAATATGGTACATATACACCATGGAATACTATGCAGCCAAATAAAGAACAAGAGTTATGTCTTTTTTGGGAACATTGATGGAGCTGGAGGCTATTATCCTTAGCAAAATAATGCAGGAACAGAAAACCAATACCATATTTTCTCACTTATAAGTGGGAGCTAAATGATGAGAATTCATGAACCAAAGAAGGGAACAATAGACACTGGGGCCTGCTTGAGAGTGGAGGGTGAGAGGAGGAAGAGGAGCAGAAAAGATAACTATTGGGTACTGGGCTTCGTACCTGGGTGACAAAATAATCTGTACAAGAGATCTCTGTGACATGAGTTTACCTATGTAACAAACCTTCACATGTACCTCTAAAGCTAAAATAACAGATTTTTTAATTATTAACTTTTAAGGGTTAGATTTATTGTGTTCTTGCTCTAATGAAAATATTAGGTATTTTATTTATCTATCTATTTATTTATTTATTTATTTATTTATTTATTTATTTTTAGACAGAGGCTCATTCTGTTTCCCAGGTTGGAGTGCAGTGGCACCATCTCAGCTCACTGCAACCTCCTCCTCCTGGGGTCAAGCAATTCTCCTACCTCAGCCTCCCAAGTAGCTAGGATTACAGGTGTGTGACACCATGCCCGGCTAATTTTTGTATTTTTAGTAGAGGCGGGGTTTCACCATGTTGGCCAGGATGGTCTCTAACTTCTGATCTCGTGATCCACCCACCTTGGCCTCCCAAAGTGCTGGGATTACAAGCGTGAGCCATGGCACCCAGCCGATATTAGGTAATTTTATGTGTAGAATAGAAATGTATCTTATGTAAGTCACTTATGTGAAAAAAGACACTTGCACACACTTGTTCATAGCAGCACAATTCACAATTGCAAAAACATGCAACCAGCTTAAATGGCCATCAACCAATCAGTGGATAAAGAAAATGTAATATATACATATATACATCATGGAATACTACTTGACTATAAAAAGAAACAAAATAATGGCATTCGCAGTAACCTAGATGGAGTTGGAGGCCATTATTATAAGTGAAGTTATTCAGTAATGGAAAACCAAATATTGTATGTTCTCACTTATAAGTGGGAGCTAAGCTACAAGGATGCAAAGGCATAAGAATGATACAACGGACTTTGGGGACTCCGGGGAAAGGGTGGGAGTGGGGTGAGCGATAACAGACGACACATTGGGTACAGTATATACTGCTCAGGTAACGGGTGCACCAAAATCTCAGAAATCACCACTGAAGAACTTATTCATGTAACCAAAAACCACCTATTCCCCCAAAACTATTGAAATAAAAAAATTTTTAAGTCTTCTCTATATATCATCTCTGTAAATAGTTATTCATATCATTATGTCATAATTTAAAAATAAATGCCACATTTTCTTTCTTTGTAAAACACCTTAAGTTTTTAAAGTTACTTCAAAAACATACATTCAGAATTTTACTCTAAAGACAGCTCTGGCATGCTAATTAAAAGCTGAAACAAATCTGGATGACAACTTATCTTAATTGGAAACATTAGGAAGAAACATTGATTGCATCAATCACTAAAAGATGACACTGTAGCACCCCTGAAGTATTTATTCAGAGCAACTGAGGTGTGAGATTTTTTTCATCCCCCGGAAAACAGCACCTGCTGAGTAGGCAACATTTTTGCCTATAACTACATTCTGCTGTAGTAGTCACTACAGTAATTAAACTTTAATAAAATTAGTGTTTTAGACATTAAAAGTAACGTCCTCATTTCATAATTTAAAAAATCAATGAATGCACTTTAATAGGTTTTTGTTTCCAAGGCTACACCAGACTGGAAGAAAAAGGTTCTGTAATAACATAATACATTTTTCTTTACACTGTCCAGTTATAGCTCTAGAACTTCATCACTTTCTCAATTTCTCTTCTTTATTCTTGTGCTCTTCTTTTGAAGGCTCAGAAATTGGTCTAAAGGAGCCTCCACTGAAACATTATCTGAGTATCCCCACTCCAAGCTGCTCTCAAGATAAAGTACTTCTTTCCCAGCCATTGTCACCATGCCACGTGTGTGAGAATTGCTTCTTATCTGTTTGCTACTTTGGGGAACAAAGTGCGCAGGCTGAATTCTGTGTTCACCCTGTTGCCTGAGTCTACATGTGTAGGGATATGTAGACTTTTAGAATGGAAAAAAGATTAAAATCTGCTATCCTTTAAGACTTTTCACCCCGAAATTCAAGGATTTCTTTTTTTAATTTTAATTTTTTTTTTTTTGACAGGATCTTGCTCTGTCACCCAGGCTGGAGTGCAGTGGTGTGATCTCAGTTCATTGCAACCTCTGCCCCCTGAACTCAAGTCATCCTCTCACCTCAGCCTCCTGAATAGCTAGACTACAGGTGTGCACAACCATGCCTGGCTAATTTTTGTATGTTTTGTAGAGACAAGCTTTTGCCATGTTGCCCAGGTTGATCTCAAACTCCTGAGCTCAAGCAATTACCCCACCTTGGCCTCCCAAAGTGCTGGGATTAGAGGCTTGAGACACTGCACCTCAGCCTCCATGACTTTCAGTGTAAAATTCGATGTCTACATCCTTGTACCCATCGCAGCTATCAAGATATAGGATGTTTGCATCATCTCAAAGAGTTTCCATGATCTCCTTTGCAGTCAGTCTCTTCCCTTTTCCATGGCCCCGGGCAGCACTAATCAGCTGTCACTATACTTTTGCCTTTTATAGAATTTAATTTAATGAAATCATAAAGCATATAATCTTTTGTAGTTGCCTTTTCACATTTATTTAGCATAATTCTTTTGTGATTCATTCCTTTTTTTTTTTTTTGACAGAGTCTCGCTCTGTCGCCAGGCAGGAATGCTGTGGCATGATCTCGGCTCACTGCAACCTCCAACTCCCTGGTTCAAGTGATTCACTTGTCTCAGCCTCCCAAGTAGCTGGGAATACAGGCACGTGCCACCATGCCTAGCTAATTTTTGTATTTTTAGTAGAGACAGGGATTCACTGTGTTAGCCAGGATGGTCTTGATCTCCTCACCTTGTGATCCACCCGCCTCAGCCAACCAAAGTGCTGGGATTACAGGCGTGAGCCACCGTGCCTGGCCCGTTCCTATTTTTATATGTATCTGTGGTATGTTCCTCTTTATTGTGGAGTTCTATATTCCACTGTATGAATAATTCATTGATTAGTTGACAAACATTTGGTTTATTTGCAAGTTTGACTATTGTAAACAAAACTTCCATGGACATCATATAAAAAAGTCTTTCTGTGGACAAGTCTTTTTGTTACACATTTTTCTTGAGTCATTGCTAGGAGTCTGCTTTTTTTAAACTCACAAAAAAAGTATCTTTATAAGAAACTGTCAACTGTTTTCCAAAACATCTGTATCATATATATTTCCACAAACAAGAAATGAATATTTCATACATAGAAAACTACTGACCCATCATATCACCTCACCTATATCAGATAATGTGTCCATGAGAATTAATCTTTTGTAATGTTTTGTAGTGTTAAGCTACTTAATTTGTTACTGAATCATACTTTATCGAATACTGACTAAAAGAATTTTCAAGCTGAAAGATTTAGCCAATTTTTAGGATAAGTAAGGACAATGCTGATTAGGATGCGGCCTTGATATTGCACAGCCTAAAGTGCTTTCTCCTGGCATCTTAGTTAGAGGTGCTTTAATACAGAGTTGATACTTTATTCTATTACTTCTATGGATTAATCTTGAAATAGAAGTGAGAAGTTAGTATCACATAGTATCCCGCTTGAACAAACCAGTGTTTTATTCCTGGATAGAGCCATCTCCCTAGCTCTAGGGTGGTGGTGAGAACATGGTGTCAAACCTTCCAAAAACTTTATATGTGCAAATTCTCTCATCTTTTTGGGGAATGATTAAATATAAGAAAATAGCTGAGGATCATGTGATATTTGAGAAAAAAATCCTTTAATTTGAGTGTAGGTGTCAAAATGGACAAATAAAGATAATTTGGAAAGAAAAGAAGTATTCATTTTCTATACTGCTAACAAATCACTACAAACTTACTAGCTAAAAGCACACATATGTGGTATTTTGCAGATTTTGTGGGTCAGGAGTCCTGGCATGGCATGGCTGGATCCTCAGTTTAGGGTCTAATATGGCTACAATCAAGATGTCAGTTGGAAATGGGTGTAGTGGGACTCACCTGTAGTCCCAGCTACTCAGGATGTTGAGGCAGGAGGATTGCTCGAACCCAGAAGTTCCAGGCTTTAGTGAGCTATGATTGCACAGCTGCACTCCAGCCTGGGTGACAAAGCAATACCCTGTCTTAAAAAAAAAAATGTTAGCTAGGCTGTATTTATATCCCTAGGCTTGACTGAGGAAGACTGTGCTTCCAAACACACTAACATTGTTGGTAGAATTCCTCACTTACAGTTGTAGAACCGAGGATATTGACTGTTGACCAGAGACTTACATAAGCTCCTAAAGGCTACCATAATCCCTAGCCCAGAGGTTCCTAACCTTTTTGGTACCAGGAACTGGTTTTGTGGAAGACATTTTTTCCATGGATGGGGGTGTTTAGAGGTGTGGGATCTTGCGGGGGGTTGGGGGCGGTGGGAAATGAATGAAACTGTTTTCAGGCATTAGATTCTCATAAGGAGCGTGCAACCTAGATCCTTCACATGTGTGGGTCAGTTCACAATAGGGTTCACGCTCCTGTGAAAATCTAAGGCCACTGCTGATCTGACAGGAGGTGGAGCTTAGGCAGTAATATTCTCTCGCCTGCCACTCACCTTCCTCTGTGCAGCCCAGTTCCAAACGGGCCCTAACCCTCACCCTAACCCTGCCCTAGCCACATGAGCTTTTCCAGCACTGCCTCTTCTTCACACAGCATGGAGAAACTCAAGAGCAGGTCTACTAGCAAGGAAGAGTCTTATACAATGTAACGTAATCATGGGAGAGACAAAGAGAGGAATCCCACACAGGGATGAAGCACCTCAGTGGTGCGCGTCAGTGGTGGTTACTGCAGCACCTCGGCAAGTATGCATCTAGCTTGGAGAGACACGGGTCCCATCCAGACTTAAACAGGAAGCAAGAGCCTCCAGAAAAGACATCTCCAAGAAAAACAAAATCATTTTCTTGATGTATTTGACATAGTAAATAGGCAAAGCAAAAAAGATACAATGTTAAATCCCCATGACAACAAAAAGTTGTATAAACATTAAATAATAAATGCTAAGTATTGAATTCACCAAAAGTGCAGTAAATACTTTGGAGGTTGGACAGAGAAGATGTGTATGTCTGTGTATAGGAAGTAAAATAGACATCTACATCTTCATGTTTTGTAGTAAGGAATCAATATGTTAATATCGAAAACTAAAAAGATGAAGATGACAATGGAAGCACAATTGTGAACAGCATGGCAGTAAATAAATGGAGGAATTAAAGAGCTGAAAATCATTGCTTATGGCAAATACACAGGAAGATTATATATATATTTATATATATATTCAGCAAAGTTGACTCTTTTTAGTCATACACTTAATTTAAATTTTTCAAACTATGTACTTATATAATCATGATAAAGAGCAAGTATAATAAGAATATGAACATTTTACTTCATAAACCTTAGTATTACTTGAATTTATTTTTATAAAATTTATATAAGTCTAAATTTGTTGTTAAAAAACAAAAACATCTCCTTACTTCCTCCATGTCCCATAGACTATGAAGCCTATGAATGAATTTTAAGGAGAAAGAATCTTTGAGGATGGGATAGAACAGGAGAAATAGCAGGACAGCTAATGGAGAAGGGACCAGGTATAAAATTAGGAAGAATAAATTTCAGTAACTTTAAAATTCTGGCCAGGCCTACGGTTGTGTTTGAAGAAGGCAGGAGACAGACAAAGAACCTCATTAATTGCCCACAGCGTGCCAGGCACTGTGAAGCTGCTTCACTCAGTTTCCTCACTTACTCATAACAGTAACACTGTAACAGACATTTCTTGCCCCATGTTCTAGAGCAGGGGACTAATAACAAGATGTTAAAGAACTTGCTCAAACAAACCAAGCCTCTTAGTGTCAGAGCAAGAACTGACTCCAAAAGCCTCAGTTGTTCAGGGCTGTAAACTGAATCCATGGGCAGCAGCAACTCTTTGCATGTAAAATTTGCTTCATTTACTAAATAAAAACCTCTTTCATTGTGTTAATTAAATATGCCCGCTACAATCTTGTTTACATTCATTCCATTAAAAATAGACAACTCAAAGGTAACTTTCAGTTTTGCTCTTGTAAAATAGCCAAGTCTAGAATTTTATATCATTTTCATTAAATTTAATATAGGTGTAGGTGGTTAATTAAAAACAAGATTTTGCTAAATGTAAGTATTGGATGCTTACGTAATTTTTAGTTAATTACATGGCAACTTGATTTATCTGTTGCTATTTGATTAAATCTTAACACACTGTTTTAGCAATAAATCAATATTTAATGACGTATTAGCATAGAGTCGATATTCTGCCAAGTCTTGATGAGAGGCTTTGCTAAATATGAGCTTATGGCTTTATGTACTATCTTCATTTTTAAGTAAAGGGTATTTTGTTCTAACTACTGTTTATGAAGAAATATATGTTTTAGCATATTTAGGACTTTTGACAATCATTTCTAAAGAATCTCAAAATGGACTATGTTCTCTCTAGATTTTCTGCATTTATTGCTGTGATAAAAACAAGTGAGAGTGTCAAAGAACAGTAATGCTGAAAACTTATAAAGGGATTAATAGTCCATTGGTAAAATAGCTCCATTAATTCGTCTGTGCATATGAACAAAGGACAGTCTTGCAGACACACAATGGGCAAAATGAACATAGTGATATATGGCTGACACCAGAATGTAGCACATTTCGCAGTGTATGAACAGGCAGAAGATAACAGGCCACAGACTCGAACTCTTCTGGAGGCCCCTAGCTTTCATTGCTGATAAACTGCAACAAAAACGCATGAGTATGTGGGTTTATGTGTGTGTGTGTGTGTGTGTGTGTGTGTATGTTTTAATTAGCATTTAATTAATAATTATATCTTTCCAATTTGTAAATGAAAAATATATTTTTTTGGTAATAACTGGTCACAAACAATCTCATCAGAATTATGCTGGTGACTTATACCTAAAATCTTTAAGCATATTTTTCAACGAATAAAGATGCCAATATTTCTGAGTATATATTGTCAGCTTTTATGAGAAAATGGTGTAAAATTTATTTTCATTTTCTGTTTCAAAGTATGCTTTGAACATTTATAACATTTAGATTTTATGAGACTTACAAATTAAAAGGTCCAGATATTTTTTTTTCTCAAGCACTATAGCTCAGGTGTTCAAAAGGAGAGAGAGATAGTGTGTGTGTGGTGTGTGTGTGTGTGTGGGTGGGTGTGGGTGTGTTTGCACACAAAAGGCAAGGATTTCATGTGCATGCGTGTGTGGGAGAGCAGATTTTCCATGAGATAGGACTGATACTCACCTGTTCTGTCACTGACCAGCTTGATGGCCTCTCACCAACCTCTCTTCCTATTTTCTGTGTTAGACTCATTTAACAGAAAGCGTGATGAAGATGACAAAATGGGATCAGCTGATCCTTAAAGCTTTTGTTTAGCTTAATAGGCCAGGTTAGCATTTTGCAGATGTTGGGTTTCCAGATTAATAATCCTAATGAGGGCATCTAGCAGCAGTAGCTATTAGATGATGTAATTTGGAATCTGATTTGCTTCTTAGGTTAAGACAAACAAATCTCATTTACAGTGTAAACTATCTAAAATAATGCCTTCTGTTTTGCTTTCTCATCCAAGGACGTTTTCCAGAATTAGAAGTCAAGGTTACTATAATGGACGTCACACTGCAGAAAGCTGCTGCCACAGACTGTGTTTTGAAGCCTCCTTTTTTCACTTATTAGGTTATAGCAAGCAGCAACCATACTAGTAGATGTATGTGTAGCTTTATATTGTGTTGGGAGAAATGGAATCCCCCGATATTACAGCTGCACTTCTGATTTGTCATTTATTTGGAATAAATAGAGGGTGGTATGCCAGTTGCTATGGAAACTAGTTCCACATTGGAGCAGTAGAAGACCTTTAAGCACGTTTGAAATTGCTTCCTGCTCATTATGTTTCAGCACTGAAGAAGGTGTAGTGTGCAATTAAATAGAAATCAAGATTTAATTTAAAAATTAAATTAAATTTTCTGGATTGTCCTTTGTGTACAATAAGCTTATGAGACGGAGCATTGCTAGATGCAATGCTAACTGGATGCACATTTGGAAAGAGAGCTGGATCACACCCTTTCTTCTCTGTGGTGTGTATGTGTGCGTGTGCGTGGGTGTGTGTGTGCATGTACAGGTGTGTACGTGTACATCAGAGATACTTATAATAATCCCTCTTATGGCAGTTTATTCCAAAAATGTCAGTTTCACCTAGCATATTCTAGAAAATTGGTTAATGTATGCAGGGCTATAAAAAGAAACATATATGTTTGGATTCATTTGTAGGTTATAAAATTAACATCAAGAGAGTTAACCATTATGTTGAGACAAAAATACAAAATTTAATTGTGCAGATTTTTAAAGAGAATATTTTAAGGTAAATTAGTGAGAACATGAGATTGATATGTAGTCAGACTTGGAAATACAGGCACTACAAAAACAATAACATATGCATATGAAGCAGTCAAAATATAAGGATTTTATATGATGGAAGCAAAAAGAAGGCTATATATATTTTTCAAAAACCAAGTGTATTTGGTGTATACATAGGTGGTATTCCTTAGCTTCTAAAATTGAAAAATATTATAAAATGTTTATTTAGTCTTATACTGTACATTAATTATATGTTATCCCAGAAATACAAATATAGATAATTGTTCTAAAAGGATCAGGGGATTACTTTAGTTATAGCCATGTATTAAAACCTTATATTTTTATAGCTCTTTATAAAATATAATGGGCTTCATCTGTATGATTTCATTTGCTCTCTAAACAATTCTGAGGTAATCAGTGTAGAGCAGCTATTATCTTCATTTTACATATAAGTGACTTGTGTCAAGTCACCTAGATAATCTATGGAACATCAGGGAAAGAAATCTCCTGATTTCTTTCCATTTCTAAAAGTATTAGTTAATCTTACGCTAAATTTGCAAAATATATCCTGTTTTCTCTTGACTGAGAAAGGCATCATAAAGTATTCAGGAATACAATTTATCTTTTCTTTAGAGTGACAGGAAGTGTGTGATGAAGTGTGCTTTAAAATAATTATTTTTTGAATCATCTTATTGTATGTATTTATTTCTTAAGGGTTTAAAAATGTATTTTCTGGTTAATTTGCATTGTTCAGACATCTTTGCCATGATTGGATTTGGATGTAAATAGAAACATGCTTGCTATATTGATATACAGGATTGCTTTTTTCATGGCTCTGTGTGTCCACCTAACTAGGTGCTATTTATGTTTAGTAGTTCTCTGCTCAATCAGTCCCTTACTGGTGATGAACCCTTGTGGCAATGGAGCCCCGTGCTATAAAAAGATTATATGGATAACTGAAAAAGATTGCCCTATAATAACAGGAGCTTCCTTGGTGAGCAGCTGCTGGCCCAGCAGTCCTGGGGCTTTCATGAGGCTGCTATGAATATGTTCACAGCATGCTGAGGCTGACTCCATGCTGTTAATGTGCTGCCTCGCCAGATCCCAGGCTGCTGCTGTGTGTGTGCTGGCTTCCTTCTATTTAATACTGTTTTTCTTATAGGAGATACTTTATGCTTCTGTCAAATGAAAGTTATCCTGTTCAGTATACAATCAATGCCTTCATAATATCACCTGCAGAAATTAGCACTTCGTAAGTATTATGTGATTTCTTTTTTATTAATTGTTAAATATGAAGATTCTACCTTATCACAAGTAACAGGTGAAGTAACTATACTTCAAAAGGAAAAAAAAAGATATGTTGTTAATTACTTCAAGGCCTGTTGTCTGAGATTTGGAATGTAAAGATTTAATAAGGCTTTAATTCTTGACTGAGAAGACAGTCATATCAGATGCCAACAAGCTGGAAGGCCCTCGAGTGTAGGCCTTTTTGGTTTAAAGGAACCTGACCAAAGTAGCAAGCCTCCAGGGCTTTCCATACTGGCACCAACCCGTGTGCAGTAGAAATGGAATAAAGGCTGCAGTGGAAATCTAGGAGAGAAAATGATAAGTTGCAGAACTACAGTAGTGATACTACTGGGGATGGAGAGCTTTGGACACTCATGAGACAAAGAAACATATGGCAGTGTTACATATGATGGTTGATTGAATGTGAGCATTTGAAGTAGATAATGGAGTCAAGAAATGTATCCAGATATATAGGGTTATCGACTGGAGTAGAGGAGAGAGCCCGATCACATTCAGCAGGAGGGCTCTGCTTCAACTCTGGCTCCAAGCATTGAGGTCAAAGCCCAGATAGCATAATGTATAATTTGTGGCCAAAATTAGTTTCAATCTAAGACATGTTATTAACAAATAATTATATTTTTGATTCACAAAATAATATTTTGGGACAAAGACAAAAATATCCTATGAAAAATTAATCTCTGTGGCCCTTGGTATATATACTTGAAAGGATACTGGTGTTCACGGGATGTGGGGAAGAACATGTTCCCACTTATTAAAATTAGTCAATCCATTTTAAATATTAACTTGCCTGGTCAATTTTGGAAATAAATTATTCTAAGCCTTCAATTTTGATATTATTTTACCACACTTAAAATAGTGTGTTGCTCCCTTCCCCTTGAATCTTCTTTTCCCCCCTCCCCCAGTAAAGAAAAAAGCACAGCTTCTTTGTAAGTTTATTGTGATATTTTGTGGGACAATCTTAATTCTCAGCATCAAACTCAAAGTTATTTAAGGAAGTGGATTCTTTTGAAATTTGTATTCCCAATGACTGCCATGGTGACTGGTTTATTCACACTTTTTGAATAAACAAAAGACTTATACCACAGCACTTGCTACCACATGCAAATACTTCATCTGACCTCCCATTATACAAGGTAGCAATGGAAATAAACTGCCTTTTAAAAGGTAGACATTAATGTGCACTAAGGCATGAATCTTATGGAATAAAAAGTGGTGAATATACAAAAATTTTTTCAATAAACTGGACTTAGGTAAAATAGTTTTAAAATTATGATTTTTTAAATCCGTAATACACATTCATTAATTTCTTAAGTAATTTGCAACTCTTACTTCTCTTAAGTACAAAGTATTTCCCAAAATGACTATTGGCTGGAACTTAGATATTTCCCAAGTCAATCTATCTCTGAACACTAAAAAAGTGATCTATCCAAATAAGGCAACACAACTGTTAAGCTCAATAATGAGTGGCAGAATTCTATTTAATTATTTAAAGTATCATCTATTTATTTTACATTAAAAACCCAAATGAGCAAGTACACAATTAAAAGTGTCATTCAACCGAGGAAGAATGGTTGAAAAATTATAGAATTACCCTTATGAAAAAGTATATAAAGCAATATGACATATGTTAGCAATAACTGAACATTAAATATTTTTATTTTATATAAACATTTATTTTTTCAATGACATCTGAGGAAAAAGCTTTAATTTATTTATATACTTAGAAGTAAATCATGGGAGATATTCTTAGTTGGAGTTCCCCCATCCAAGGTACCCAGGTCCCAGAGATTCAGATTCATTTAAACCAACATTGTGGTCCCATTATCCTTTTATGGAAACTTATTTTTCAGCTAATAAAAATTTATGCAAGTTAATATAATTTAGGAGTGTAAAATATATCATTGAGAAATTATTTATATTATTTTTAAAATTATTTTTGTTTTTTGAGACAGAGTCTGGCTCTGTTGCCCAAGCTGCAGTGCAGTGGCAAGACCTTGGCTCATTGCAGCCTCTGCCTCCTGGGCTCAAATAATGCTTGCATCTCACCTTCCCAAGTAGCTGGGATTACAAGCATACACCACCACATCTGGCTAATTTTTGTATTTTTTGTGGAGGCAGGATTTCACCATGTTGCCCAGGCTGGTCTGTAACTTATGAGTTCAAGACATCTGCCTGCCTGGACTTCCCAAAGTGCTGAAATTACAATCTTCACTCAATTTTAATTAAATAATTTATTTCTTTTAAATGATGACAGATTTTAAGATGTTATTCTCCTTACCAAAGTCAACCTCATGTGTTGAAAGTCTCTTTTTAAATTTTTTCAAATACTTTATATTTAATTCTCTAAAATGATCAACTGAAGAATCCAGATGGACTGTAATAATTTATTCTGTTGTTTGTGTGAGTCACATTTAAAGTTGTTCATTACCATTTTGTCCTTTTACATAGAACATTAAGGAAAGGCATATGAGGCCCATTGTGACCAAAAAGCTGAATGACTAACCAAGAAATGAATTGTTAATTTCATCAAAGTAATTTTTATAAGTTATACAATCAGTGACAGCCTTAACCATCTTTAAAAATAAACCAATCTCTTATGTTTCAGTAGAGTATCTTAAGAAGTAAGTATTGGTAGAAGACACCATCAGTTAACTACTCACTGAAAATTTCATTTCTCCTAATAAAAGTTTAATTTTGTTTGGGACCCACTCCTGCTCAACATAGCCTACAAATCTCATGGTAATAATAATAATAATAATAAGTCTAATAACTATGTTACAAACCTCTTATGTATTCCATGTCACTTTTATGTACTTTACATGTAGCTAATACTCACAAAACTCAATGAGACATTATCGTTATCACCAATTTACAGAGAGAATGAAGTAAACTGGTAAGGTTTCACAGATAGCAGGTAACAAATTTAAGGAGTTTAAGAGTGTAAAATATATATTAAGAAATTATTTAAATCCTTTTTAAAATTCTTTTTGTGTTTTTGAGACAGGGTCTGGCTCTGTTGCCCAGGCTGGAGTGCAGTGGCAAGACCTTGGCTCATTGCAGTCTCTGCCACCTGGGCTCAAGTGATCCTCCCATCTCAGCTTCCCAAGTAGCTGGGATTACAGCTTGCTTAGTGTTTCAACGCATAAATGAGGGTTTAATTTAGCTCAAATTTTCACTTATATATAATGATTTAAGTTTAAATTAATAAGTAGATATAGATCTTTTTATTTATATACCAAGGAGGAGGTTTATTTTGTATACCTTCCTTAGGAGATAGAAGTACAAGTCCTGGAATAAGAATTATGTACATTTTAGGAATCTTAAGGAAGTGTACATCCTCGTACCTGTTTATCACTTGATATATTTTCTTTTACTTTCTCCTTGAAATAAAATTTACATACGATGAAAACCACATATCCTAAGTGTGTAATTTAATGAACGTGGATCAGTGTATACACGTGGTAAACAACATCTCAATTATCCTTCATCCTAGATGTGTTTTTTCACATTCTGTTCTAGTCAGCCACCACCCACAGTTGGCCACCGCTGTTCTGATTTCTATCACAATAGAATAGTTTTTCTATGTCACTTCAGGTATAAGGAATCATATAATATACTTGTAGTATTTGATTTGTTTCACTCAGCATAATGCTTTTGAGATTCATCTATGTTGTTTATGTTTCACTAAGTTGTTCTTGTTTATTGCCAAGTAGTATTTTACTACATGAAAATACCTCAAATAATCTTTTTATTATCTTGTTGATGGATAGACATTTGGGCATTTTCATTTGGGGGCGTTTATGAAAAGAAATTGCTATAAACATCTCCATACAAGTTTTTTTGTGTGTGAAAGTGTTCTCTTATCTCTTCTCTGAATACCCAGAAATGAAATTGCTGAGTCACATGATAGGTTTGCGTTTAACTTGAAAATAAATTGCCTAATTGTTTGCCAAAGTGATTCCATTGTATACTTCTCATCGGCTATTTATGATGGTTTTAGGTCTCTGTTTACAATAAAAACACAAAACATGAATATACAGTGCTAAAATGATTATAACTGTTAAGGATAGCAGAAATTATATGACTATTCAAGATCTGAAAGATATAGTTGACTTGACCACAAAAAGAGTACATATAAATTTCCATAAAATTGCACTCTGATGTAATTGCCAAGATGAATATTATTAGATGTTCAAAAAGCAATGTTAAGATTTTATAAACCTCCTTGTAATTTTAAAGCTGGCCCATTGCTTTTGCTTTTAGATTTCTTCTCTGCACAGCTATATTTATTATATTTTAAAATTACATTTTTATTTCTAGGAAATATATTGGGTTGCTTTACTCAAATTCACCCCACTGTCCTATAAAACTTAGTATTTTGTGCTCTAAGTACAAAAGACATAGAAAATGCTATAGGTGAAACAAAACAAGTGCATCTTGGATTTTTGCCCTGGTAACAAACTTTTAAAAATACTTGTAATTATTATTTTAAAAAACATTACATGTTAAAATTTGGTGAAACTACATGGTCTTTATTATAAGCCAGAAATTAATCCAGGATGTATTAATTACAAGTCAAATGCATACACTAGTATGAAAAATATATCGGAGAAGAAATTGCATTTAATCACCAGAATCAACAGACTGTGTTTGAAGTGTGAGCTGACTCCACTTTCCCCATAGCTTTGTTATACATCTGGGAAATAGACCAGCATTCATTATCCACATGGATACTCTTGTACTTGAGTCCTGTGAGAGATTCTCCTGTGTCAGGAGCACAACTTAACTCTGAAATGTTGGCCAAAATTTGACATAGATTTACCAAATAGTCTCATAATATTAATATCATGTTGACTCTGCAGAAATCTGCAACTAGACTATGTGAACTTTTTTCTTTTAGATGTCTCAATTTTGAGAAATACATAAAAAGATGAGTGATATTCTTTTAAATATTATTGAGAATTTAATTGGATTATAGTGGACTAAGACAAGCAAAGTATTTTACTTACAATAATGATCAATGTATATACGTAAGAAATAGTTTTATTAGAAGGAAAAAGTCTTGGCAATTTCCTTTGACTATTACTCTCAAGAACTTAATTCTGAAAACTTTTACATTATTATAACAATTTCCTGAAAATTCTTCATGTATGTTATATATCTGGAATAAAAATTAATATGTTAGACTTCTTGGAGACAAACATAGGCAAAATTATTGTGTATAGAATGCATTTTCTTTCTAGTTTTCTAACTGAAACTAATCAAATGTGTCATTTGCTTCAGTTTTTTAAATGTTATTTTTAATTGATAGATAATAATTGTATAGATTTACACGGTACAAACTGATGTTTTGGTACATATACGCTTTGCAGAATGATTAAATAATGCTAATTAATATATCTATCACTTCACATACTTATTTCTTTGTGATGGGAAAATTCAAATCCACTCTTTCCACAATTTTGAAATATACAATATGTTATTATTAACTGTAGTCACAATGCTGTGCAGTAGGACACCAGAACTTATCCTTCCTGTCTAAGTGAAACTTTGTACTCTTTGACCAATGTCTTCCCTTTCCCTGCATTCTTCCCCCAACCTAGTCTCTGGTAAGCGTCATCCTGCTTTCTACTTCTATGAGTTTGACAATTTTAGATTCCACATATAAGTGAGATCATGTGGTATTTCCCTTTCTGTGCCTGGCTTACTTCACTTAGCATAATGTCCTCTAGGTATATCCATGTTGTTGCAAATGATAAATATCCTTTTTCTAAAGGGTGAATAGTATTTCATTATGTGTACATATATATATCACATTTTCTTTATTCCGTTAATGGGCACTTGGTTGTTTCCATATCTTGATTATTGTGAATAAAGCTTCAATGAACATGGTAGTGCAGATATCTCATTCACACACGGATTGCAATTCCTTGGATATATACCTGGAAGTAGAATTACTGGATTGATCAGATGGTAGTTCTATTTTTACATTTTTGAAGTACCTCCATAATGTTTTCCAAAATGGCTGTGCTGTTACAATACCACAAACAGTGTACAAGGTTTCCCTTTTCTCCACATTCTAGCCAACACTTATCTTTCATCTTTTTGATAATAGCCAATATAACAGGTGTGATGTGTTATCTCATTGAGTTTTTAATTTGCCTTCCTCTGATTTGTGATGTTGAGCACTTTTGTTTTTCATATAGCAGTTGGCCATTTATATGTCTTCTTTTTAGAAATGTTTACTCAGGTCCTTTGTCTATTTTTAATAGTGTTATTTGTTTTCTTGTTATTGAATAGTTTGAGTTCCTTATTTATTTTGGATGTTAGCCCTTATTTAATGTGTGATTTGCAAACATTTTCCCAATTTGTAGATTATCTCTTTGTTGTTTCTTTTGCTGTGCAGAAGCTTTTTGGTTTGAGACACTCCCATTTGTTTATTTTTTGCATTTGTTGCCTTTGGTTTTGGGGTTATATGTAAGAAATCACTGTCCAGACCCATGTTATGGAGCTTTGTTCCTATGTTTTCAACTAGTGGTTCTAAAGTTTCAGGTATTACATTTAAATTTGTAATTTATTTTGCATTTATTCTTGTATACAGGGTGAGTATAAGGGTCCCATTTTATTCTTCTGCATGGGATAGCCAGTCTTTCCAACACAATTTCTTAAAAAGACAGTCCTTTACCCATTGTGTGTTCTTGGCACCTTTGTTGAAAATCAATTGACTGTAGATATCTGGGTTTATTTCTAAACTTTTTATCCTATTCCATTGGTCAATGTGCCAGTTTTTATGTCAGTACTATGCTGTTTTGATTAATATAGCTTTGTAGTATAGAAATCAGGTGGCACAATGCCTCCAGGTTTGTTCCTTTGGGTCAAGATTGCTTCGTTTATTTGGAGTCTTTTGTGGTTCCGTGCAAATTTTAGGATTGTTTTTTCTATTTCTGTGAAGAATTACACAGGCATTTTGATAGAGATTACACTGAATCTGTAGATTACTTTGGGTCCTATGGACATTTTAACATTAATTCTTCCAACCCATGAACATGGGATATCTTTCCATTCACTTCTGTCACCTTCAATTTATTTTACCAATGTCTTAGTTTTTAATATACAGATCATTTATTTCCTTAAACTTACTCCTTGGTATTTTTAATCCTATTATAAATGGGTTTTTTCGTAATTTATTTTTCAGATAGTTCATTTTTAGTGCATCTAAATGCTACTGATCTTTGTATGTAGATTTTATATCCTGGAACTTGCTGAATTCATTTATTTTTTTTTTTTTGTGGAACCTTTAGGGTTTTCCATATGTAAGATCATGTCATCAGCAAACAGAAACAATCTCACTTCTTCCTTTCTTACTCAAATGCCTCTTACTATTTTTTAAAATTTCCTAATTGTTCTGGCTAGTACTTCCAGTTCTAGCTAGAACAGAAGTGAACAGAAGTGGTGAGAATGGGCATCCTTTCCTTGATCCAGATCTTAAAGGAAACTCTTCAAATTTTTACTACTGAGTATGATATAAGCTGCAGACTTGTCATATATGGCCTTTATTGCATGGAAATACCTTCCTTCTATACCAAGCTTTTATGCCCGATAATACTAGTCCAGATAAAACTAGTTAGTTTATGCTAGTCATATACTAGTTTGGTAGTTTTTTATTATAAAATGGTATTGAATTCTGTCAAACACTTTTTCTGCATCTATTTAGATGATCATATGGCATTTGACTTTCATTTTGTTAATATGGTGTATCATATTTACTGATTTGCATATGTTGAGTCATTCTTACATCCCGGCATAAATTCTGCTTGATCATAGTGAATGATCATTTTAATGGACTGTTAAATATGGTTTGCTAGTATTTTGTGGAGGAGTTTTGCACCTATGTTCATCAGTGATACTGGCCTATAGTTTTTCTTTTTTCTTGTAGGGTCTTTGGCTTTGGTATCAGGGTAATACTTGTCTCTTAAAATTAGTTTAGAAGTAATCCCTCCTGTTTCATTTTTATTATTGATTGATTGTAGAGACAGGGTCTCTCTATGTTGTCAAGGCTGGTCTCAAACTTCTGGTTTCAAGTAATTCTCCCACCTCATCCTCTCAAATTCCTGGGATTACAGGCATGAGCCACCACACCTGGCCCTACATTTTCATTTTTGAAAGCTTTTGAGAGGAATTGGTATTAGTTCTTCTTTAAATATTTAGTGGAATTCATCCATGAAGGTATCTGGTCTTGTGCTTTGATGGGAGACTTTTTATTGCAGATTCAATCTCCTTACTCGTTATTGGTCTGTTCATATTTCTGATTTATTTATGATTCAATCTTTGGTAGTGATATATTTGTGAGAATTTATTAATTTATTCTAGGCTATTCAATTTGCTGGTGTGTAATTGTGCATTGTAGCCTCTTATGATCTGTTGAATTTCTGGGATATCACTTGTAATGTCCATTCTTTTATTTCTCATTTTATTTATTTGTGTCTTGTCTCTTTTCTTCCCCCTGTGGTATCTATAAAAGTCAGGGAGCTCAAAGTGCATAAGCTATTTTCAGGAGGGATTGGTAGGCCTGGAGTTCTTGCTGGAGGGGGAATACTCAGGAAGTGGTATACTCAGAAGCCGAATACTCAGGAAGTGCCAATCTGTGTTTAGAAGCTGCCAGGGGGCTGCGGTTTGTCTGCTCCTTCAACTCTCCAATGCAAGTTAGTTAGAAGCCAGGCTGTCAAGTTGACACTGGAAGAGTGTGTCATAAACTCCTTCTAGGCAGAAAAAGGAAGCTGCATGTTTAAGCCCCTTTTCTGCGTTGCTTCCAGCCCCTAGAAGTGCCTGTGTGCCTACATAAAACCGCCATTGTATTCTGTGGTCCATCTAGAGAGACACATGGGTGCCTAATCTCCTCCACACTCAAAGTTGGTGAATTAAGAGCCAGGCTGTGAATAAACTTAGAGTTAGGGCACTATATGTGTGGTTCAAACCCTTCACTTCTCAGGGAGAAGCTGGGTGTTGGGAACTCCTTCCAGATTGTATGGTACAGTGGCTGGGGTGGGGCCCATGCCCAAGTGTGCCTCAGCTTTTCCTACACATTTGAATGGATTTTTTTTAGTTGTTCAATTAGTAGGAGTCTCTTGACTTATTTCTGAATTTCTCTCAGAGGGAATTTGTCTAGGGATAGATGTTTATTCAGTGCTTCCATGCATGGGGTGAGAGTCAGGAGCCTCTTATTCTGCCAAGTTGCTGACACCATTCTTTAGTCTTTTCTAGATATTCAGGTGTATTTTACCACTCTTTATTTCTTCTTCTCAAAATAATTTAAAAATTATATACAGCAGATATATTTAACTATTTTTTGTTTGTTTTAGCTATAAAAAATTCCAAATGAAGTTTAGACAATTCTTTAAAATTTTGTAGAAATAGAAAAATATTGTGTGGAGATTTCAGTTTTCGAAGACTTTTGTTTGTAGCTTAACTGACATGGGCTTTTCAGGACCTGTGACTAAAAGGAGTTTGTATATGGTTTGTATATAGTGACAAGAGGTCCCGGATAGTTCTAACACAGACAAAATTTGGAACATAACTTTGACTTCTTCGCTGTCCTCATTCATCACAAAAATAATAAAATGTACCTTTTAAATCCATCCGTTAATTAATTCATTGAACAAATTTATTGAGCACCTACCGCGTGCCAGTCCTTTTTCTACAAGCTTTGTATATAAATTGTCAGCTTCCATGGATGAGGTGGGATAACAGGTTATAAATAGCATAATTCAGTAAAATAAATGAGATGACATCTCAGAAAAAAATCATAGGGTGGGGGAGGGGATAGAAGAGTTTGGAAGGACAGTAATTTTATGTAAGATGTTCTGGAAAGGATTCTCTGAGGAAGTGATACTTGAGTAAAGACCTGGAGGAGGCAAACAAGTGAGCCTTACAGATATTTGGGGGAAGAGCACTGAAAGGAGAGGAACAGAGATTGCAAAATCCCTGAAACAGGGGTGATATCTTAAGTATGAAAGAGCAAGATGATTAGGATGGCTGCACTAAAGTGAACAAGAGTGAAAGGCAGTTTATAGGGGACCTGCATATATAGGGCCACTTAAAACACTTTGGCTTTTATCTTGAGCCATATTGGAAGCCATTCAAGGGTTTGGGGGTACAGGATTGACAGGATCTAATTTCTGTGTTTACAAGGTCACTCTGGATAGCCTGAAGGAGGAAGGGCAAACATGGAAGTAGGAAGACCGATTAAGAAATTACAGTAATGGCCAAAAGGAGAGATAAATGTGACTTGGACAGCGGTAGTAGCAGGGGAACTGATGAGAAGTAGTTGAAATATGCATATGTTTTGAAAGTAAAATATTTGGCAAAGAATTTTGCAAAATATTAGCTATGAGGTGTGAAAGAGGGAGAGAACAGTCAATAATACCTACCGTTTTGATTTCAGAAATTAGAAAGAGTTGTCGTTAACTGGTATGGCAAATACTTTCCATGGCTACTGCCATTTTCCTAATTCAAGCCCTCATAATTTTTCCATAGAGAACTATACAAACTTCCTCATTGTTCTACTGTTGACATCTTCCAAACTACTCTCCATAACATCACTAGCTTTTTCCTTCTGAAAACGCAAATCTCTTCTTATCATGCCTGAATGTAAAATCTCAATAGCTTGCAAGTGCCTGTGGAAGAATACTCAAACTCTGATATGTCTCTAAGCATTTGAACTTACAGTTTCCACTGCAGAGAACAACCTTCTTCCATTCTTTGCTTAGTTTTTTTATTCTTGTTTAACTCTTTCTTTCAAGAGTCACCCATGGTCCTTGCTCCTCCAGAAAATTTTCATTAGTATCTAAAATATATCAGGCAAAAAATGTATCATCCTATATTTTACTTTACCTTTCATTATTTTAATTAAAATGTTTTTTGAAAAGTGTAGTTACATGTGATAGGGTATTTGAAAATGCAAGCTGGGCATGGTGACTCATGTCTGTAATATCAGTACTTTGGGAGGCCAAGGCAAGAGCATTGGTTGAGCTCAGGAGTTTGAGACCAGCCTTGGCAATATAATAAGACCCCACCCCTATTGAAAAAGAAAAGGAGAAGAAAATGCAAATTCTCCCTGCTTACAAGGAAAACCATGAGCTTATTTTTTTAATGAATATTTTC
This sequence comes from Homo sapiens, assembly GCF_000001405.40. Classification (NCBI taxonomy): domain Eukaryota; kingdom Metazoa; phylum Chordata; class Mammalia; order Primates; family Hominidae; genus Homo; species Homo sapiens. Next base: position 18,003,426 of record NC_000005.10, read on the forward strand.
TTGCTATTTATAATTTTGTATTTTTACCACTTAACTATGCAATCCTAAACCCTATAATTTTGTTTTGCAATGTTTATAAACTTTATATAAATGACATCATAAATTGAGAATTTATATTAGTTATCTAATGCTGCCTAACATATCACCCCATAACTTAGTGATTTAAAGCAACAATAATCATTTATTATCTCTCACAATGTCTGTGGGTTATGAATTCAGGAAAAATCCAGTGGGTAAAGTTCTTGTTTGAATTTTTTGTGAGTTTGCAGTCAGAAATTGACTGTGGCTAGAGATATCTGAATGCTTGCCTAGGGCTGGAGTGTTCAATTTTTATGGTGGGCAAGTAGCTGCTGGCAAATGGCTTTTGCTCCATGTGAGCCTCACCACAGGTTGCCCCTGCACCCTCCCACCATGACAGCCAGCTTCCTCCAGAGTGAGCAATGCATTGCCGAAGTAGAAGCCTTCATGTTTTCATTACACAGACTTGAAGTGAAATAAGTTATTATTATTATACTCAACTATGTAGGTCTGTCAATAATTTTAATAGTGTGGATATGTGTTCTATTAGTCACATTAGACAACCATCCATGACTCAAGGAAGAAGGATTCTATTGAGGTGTATAAACACCACAAGGCTAGGATTGTTGCAGTCCATTTTGGGGAAAGCCTATCATAGTTTGCACCCGGACTTCAATAATTTATGTTCTTCTCACATTCAAGATACTCTCAATTTTTCCAAGGCTCCCAAAAGTCTTATCTTGGCAACAGTTCTAGGTCTAGAATCTTATCATCTAACGCAGATCCAGGTACAGATACAACTCCTTGATCGTGTTATCTAGAGTATAGTTTTGCAAGCATAGCTTTTTAAAATCAAGAGACCTATAAAATAGAGATGAGTTATCTGCATCCCCTTCTGACATACTCTCAATACAAAATGGTGGGGAAAAATTGCATAATTGTTATACTATTCCAAAAAAAAAAAAAAAACCAAAAACCAAACAAACAAACAGAAAAACAAGAGGCACACAGGAGTTGCTGTTCTATAGCGCCTTTAAAATACAGCTGGGCATTGGTTGGAAGTTCCTTGATTAGGACTCAGTTCTACTGCTCTTTAGTAATGACTCTCCTTAGCTCTTGGCTTTACCTTCTGGGTTCTTGGTTCCACTTTTTCAACTTTTCATTATTCTTCCTTTTTCCTAAAGGATGGCCCATGTTTACAGGTGAGCAGTTTTCTTAGCCTGCTTTCTGTCTATAGAAGTTTGGGTCCAAGACCTATTTTCAGGTTGAACTGTTTCTGCTTTTTAAAATCCAAGATAATTGTGTTTACACCAATATAATTCCCCTAAAATCTTTGTAGGTCTCCCATAAATATTTTTGAGTTTATTTTTTTAGATAGAAGACAGCATTCACAAATCTCTCCATGAAAACTCTTTCTTTATGTTAGGTTTCTTCTCCCCAGCATTCTTAGCTCTATAGTTTAAAATAGAAGATCTAGATGGCTCATACTTAAAATCTTTTTTTTTTTTTAATGACACTAAGTTCTGGGTTATATGTGCGGAATGTTCCGGTTTGTTACGTAAGTATACACGTGCCATGGTGGTTTGCTGCACCCATCAACCAGTCACCTACATTAGGTATTTCTCCTAAAGTTATCCCTCCCCTAGCCACCTACCCCCCACAGGCCCTGGTGTGTGATGTTCCCCTCCCTGTGTCCATGTGTTCTCATTGTTCAACTCCCACCTATGATTGAGAACATGAGATGTTTGGTTTTCTGATCTTGTGATAGTTTGCTGAGAATGATGGTTTCCAGCTTCATCCATGTCTCTGCCAGGCTTTGGTATCAGGATGATGCTGACCTCATAAAATGAGTTAGGGAGGATTCTGTCTTTTTCTATTGATTGGAGTAGTTTCAGAAGGAATGATACCAGCTCTTCTTTGTACCTCTGGTAGAATTCAGCTGTGAATCTGTCTGGTCCTGGACTTTTTTTTGGTTGGTAGACTATTAATTATTGCCTCAATTTCAGAATGTGTTATTGGTCTATTCAGAGATTCAACTTCTTCCTGGTTTAGTCTTGAGATGGTGTATGTGTCCAGGAATTTATCCATTTCTTCTAGATTTTCTAGTTTATTTTCATAGAGCTGTTTATAGTATTCTCTGATGGTAGATTGTATTTCTGTGGGATCAGTGGCAATATCCCTTTTATCATTTTTTATTGCATGTATTTGATTCTTCTCTCTTTTCTTCTTTATTAGTCTTGCTAGCAGTCTATCAATTTTGTTGATCTTTTCAAAAAACCAGCTCCTGGATTCATTCATTTTTTGAAAGGTTTTTTGTGTCCCTATTTCCTTCAGTTCTGCTCTGATCTTAGTTATTTCTTGTCTTCTGCTAGCTTTTGAATTTGTTTGCTCTTGCTTCTCTAGTCCTTTTAATTGTGATGTTATGGTGTCAATTTTAGATCTCTCCTGCTTTCTCTTGTGGGCATTTAGTGCTATAAACTTCCTTCTACATACTGCTTTAAATGTGTCCCAGATATTCTAGTATGTTGTATCTTTGTCTCATTGGTTTCAAAGAACATCTTTATTTTTGCCTTCACTTCCAAGATGGCAGAATAGGAACAGCTCTGGTCTATACCTCCCAGTGAGACTGACGCAGAAGACAAGTGATTTTTGCATTTCCAACTCATGTACCTGGTTCATCTCATTGGGACTGGTGGGACAGTGGGTGGAGCCCACAGAAGGTGAGCTGAAGCAGGGCAGGGTATTGCCTCACCCAGGAAGTGCAAGGGATTGGGCCATTTTCCTTTCCTAGCCAAGGGAAGCCATGAGTGACTGTACCTGGAGAAGCAGTACACTGCTGCCCAAATACTACACTTTTCCCATGGTCTTCCCAACAAGCAGACCAGGAGATCCCCTCCCGTGCCTGGCTCAGCATGTCCCATCCCTTGGAGCCTTGCTTGCTGCTAGCACAGCAGTCTGAGATTGACCTGGGATGCAGGAGCCTGGCGGGGGGAGGGGCGTCCACCGTTGCTGAAGCTTGAGTAGGTGGTTCTATGCTCACAGTGTAAACAAAGCAGCAGGGAAACTTGAACTCGGTGGAGCCCACTCCAGCTCAGCAAGGCCTACTGCCTTTATAGACTCCACCTCTGTGGGCAGGGCATATCTGAACAAAAGGCAGCAAACAGCTTCTCCAGACTTAAACGTCCCGCGTGACAGCTCTGAAGAGAGCAGTGGTTCTCCCAGCATGGTGTTCAAGCTCCAATAATGGACAGACTGCCTCCTCAAGTGGGTCCCTGAACCCCATGTAGCCTGACTGGGAGACACCTCCCAGTAGAGGCTGACAGACACCTCATACAGGCAGGTGCCCTCCTGGGACGAAGCTTCCAGAGCAAGGATCAGGCAGCAATATTTGCTGTTCTGCAGCCTCCGCTGGTGATACCCAGGCAAGCAGGGTCTGGAGTGGACCTCCGGCAAACTCCAACAGACCCACAGCTGAGGGGCCTGTCTGTTAGAAGGAAAACTAACAGAAAGGAATAGCATCAACATCAACAAAAAGGACATCCACACCAAAACCCCATCCATAGATCATCAACATCAAAGACCAAAGGTAGATAAAACCACAAAGATGGAGAGAAACCAGAGCAGAAAGACTGAAAATTCATACTTAAAATCTTCAGTGGGGCTTTTGTCCCAATAAATCTTCTCCATGTACTCCCTGAATGATTTAAATAGTTGTTGAGGTTTGCTCTAAGAAACTCAGGTAAAATGTTTATATTTTACCTAAGTGAGTTAAAATCCCAGCTCCAATGCATAAATGATTTATAAACAAAGAAAAATTACCTAAGGAGGGTACTTAAAAGATCGTGTGTGTGTGTGTGTGTGTGTGTGTGTGTGTGTGTGCATGTGCTGATGTGGAAGGATGGTGGTGGGAGTAAATGGTGAATTAACATTGGAACTCTCAGAAACATTACTTACCAAGAGTAAAAAATCATTTTTATTTTCTCTATAAAGAGTAGGGGAAATTTTAACTTGTTTAAGTATAGACTAATTATAATGTAGAGATCCAAGTGTTGTGATTTACAGCTATACTCATAAATGCCATAAGTTTAACAAAATAAAGGACTAATTATTCTTTTAATATTTTGACCAAAAGCTCTTCAAATTAGGTGTTTTTCTGAGCCCCAAATGATACTGAATACAATTATCCATAGAGGTTTTATTAGCATGTCTGGTTTTGAGGCAAATATGGCCAGCAATAAGAAATTATTTTATTGAAGAGTATTTCAATATATTATAAACAATTTTCTTCCCCTATAATTACTATGAAAACCTCAAAAATTGCAAATGAGTGCATAAACTAGCAAGATGAAATAAGCATGGAAACTGGTTTAATAACCTTAGCTATCAAACTAATTGTGAATAACTGGAAACACTTCATTCAGAACTGTTTTATAGAGTGATTAAGTATGATTTGCATAATTTTCTTTTAGAATAAAAATAGATCTAAAATATTTTGAAAAATGAAAACAGCATAGCTGAACAAATATTTCAGAGATAAGTACGGGAGAATTAAATTTTTATTTTATCCAATTTTATAGGAAGTATATCTGAAATAATTTATTCTATGTATTTATTCATCTAGTCATTAAATCACCCATTCATTCAACAAATATTTTAGCCAGTTCTCTGCCAATTTTCAGCTTGCAAATTCTCACATAATTGCCAAAATTCAAATCCATCCTGTTGAAAGAAGTAATAAATAAATAAACATTATACGTGTAACTAATTCTGAAAGCCAACAACTTATTAGGTGGTCCAATTATAGGAAATGATTGATATATTTTATAGTTGAAATTTTAAAGTTTTTGACACATTAATTGACTTCTATAAATTTTTTAAAAAATTTTTTCTTTGTAAAATTGTGAACACTGAAGAGAATATAAAGAATACAGAAAGATAGAAATATTTTTCCAATTTTTTTTTTTTTTTTTTTGAGATGGAGTCTCACTCTGTCACCCAGGCTGGAGTGCAGTGGTGCTATCTTGGCTCACTGCAAGCTGTGCCTCCCGGGTTCACACCATTCTCCTGCCACAGCTTCCCAAGTAGCTGGGACTACAGTCACCCGCCACCACACCTAGCTAATTTTTTTGTATTTTTAGTAGAGACGGGGTTTCACCGTGTTAGCCAGGATGGTCTTGATCTCCTGACCTCATGATCCGCCCGCCTTGGCCTCCCAAAGTGCTGGGATTACAGGTGTGAGCCACCACGCCCAGCCTCCAATTTTTTTTCTGATTTTTTAACCTATCTCAGCCAGCGAAAATGAATTAGCAAATTTATTTCAATGTGCTTATTTTGTTAATATAAAGCACGTTTCTTCTACTCTTACTAGTTAAAGCAGAACAAATATTCTGAGAATATTAATTGGAATAGATGAGGACTTTTATATATCCAGGGCAATAAAGTTTATTTCTGCTCTGTTAGGTAGGGCTCTATTTTCTTGAAAATATCACCCACTTTTCCTAGTCTAGCTTTTGGAAGAAATGATTGAGCTTTAGTGATGAGAAATGTGGATTTTTTTCATAGTTTTGGAGAAATTATAGCATAACTGGAAAAACTAAAAAGCAGCAAGGAAGTTAATAAATAGTTGATGGAAATGACTGGTCTGTTAATATCCCTCTTTTGTTTGCACTCTTGATTTGGTTTGGCCTTTTCAACTATAAGCAGGATGTGCTAGTGAAAAGAAGACAAGTTTGTGGAGCAGTCATCATATGTACTCATGTTTTCTTTATTTGATTAGTAATTGTTAAAATAGCTACAATTTTTAGGTTGATTGATATTGCTAGGCATTGATCTAAGCATTTTTAAAGAAATATTTAACTTATACAACCCCATGGGGGTAGGTATCTGGTTGAGAACAAAATTATCCATACACTTGTACACATATGATTATTTGAATCCCCGTTTTTACAGAGGAAGGAATTGACTCTCAGATGAATTAAACCTGGGCAAGACAAAACAGAGTTGGATTTGGAATTAAGACTGAACCCAAAGCAAGTAGGCTACACTTAAGGACAATTTCAGGTTTTGTGAAACCTGAAGCTTAGAGAATGTTGAGGGCCACCCGTTAACAAAAGAGAATGTGAAATTACAAACAATGAATTAGATACAAATATGAGTACCTACAAGAAAAGAAATCACAATAAATTACAAATTTTTAAAAGACAACAAATGCTGCAAACATCACAACAGGAAAAATTATTTTTTATTAACGACCTAGCAAACATCTTTTAATGACTTGTCTTTTGACAAGTATTTCATACTTTTATTTCCTACAGATACAAAATAAAAATAATTGCATCCGTTATTTGACATAAAATTTATTATTTATAATTCAATATTTGGATGCATAAAATGTGCAACTTCATAATAAATGAACCCACTGTACTTTTGCTATAGATGTGTGCCCTACCAAGAAATTTCTGACAAATTTTATTTTAGATAGTTCCTACATGATTAATTTATAATTTTATGAACTTCGTGTATCTCAGATAGGAGAAAGCTTCTGTTTTTTTCTAAGCCTGGATAGGAACCAAAATCTCCACATACAATTCTACAATATGATAACTGGAAACATTCCTAAAGAAGAGCTTTTCTTTACACGTATTTCATATCCTGTTTTTTGTTTTCTTTTGTTTTGTTTTTGCTGTTGTTGTTTTCTTCTTTTTCCCCAAGAGCCACCTGCTTCCCACATAGCCACACAGTCACTGGCTAAGTCACAATGCATTATGACCTCTGGCCCAGAACCTTCATGTCATGACGTTGGCTTTGTCAGCATAGTGGGCAGTAGGGGTATTGCTGAAAGCCATGCTTCCTGAGATGACAGCAATTGCTTAGGCATGCTTAGAAGTGACTGCAAATGACTTCTGTATATTCCACTAAACCTTGAATGATTATACATCCTGGTGTCTCTGGACAATCCTTGTTCACACTTATTGTCCAAGTGTATTTATTAATTCTGCCCACTTTAATTTTCAAATGTGTCTCAATTTGGACAACAATTGTCCAAACTGGACACAGAGTCACCTTAACTAAAACCAAACTGAACTGCCCCTAACTAAAACCTTAGCTGGGAAGAAAATTTCTTCCAACTGTAACAAATATATAAGAACTAACCATAATCTGTGCTGACTCCTATATGCTTTACTTTCTTAAAAAATATGTTAGATTTCTGAAGAAAATTTGAAAAGTAATGATGAATTACACAATTTTATTTACCTAAAATTTAATGGAATAACAAGAACAAATAGATAAATCCAGAAGTAAAAAGGAGAACAAAACCTCACAAGTAACTATAAAAATAAAGGAAATAAGAATATATCTCCATTTAACAGGCCATAAACTCTGAAAAGTAGCAGCCATGAAAAAAAAAAACCCGGTAATTCAATTATGCTATGATACACATCCTCATTCTGTCTTCATTTTCCAGAGGTGATAGCAGATAAAGTCAGTGAGTTAACAAATTCACACTGTTGCTTTTCAAACCTTCTAAATTGAATAGAGGCAAGCTGAAGAGTAAAAGAATCAGCCAGGGGAATAGTCGAGTATATATTCTGTAGTATAAACCAGTAACACAATCCTTCAACAAAAGAAGAAACTTTTAGGGGCTCACAATTGTTCAGAACTTGCCACTGATTTGTGGGAACAATCTGTAGTCCAAATGCATCCCAACATGGTAGAAACATAAAGCCCTTACTAGGAAGAATGAGTACATTTCACAAAATTTCAGAAGTGAGTGTGGACTCAACACTCTATAAAGCCTGCCAGCTATACAACTCAGCCATCCACCCTTCTTCTCTTCACTATATGCACCTTGGGCTCAAAATGAGAAGAAAATCTCTTGAAAACAACCACAGCCTTTAACTCAAAGAGTGACACAAGAAGATTTCATTTCATTTTAGGGGTGAAATATGTCAAAGCTATTTTTTGTATGGCATCTGAGAGCAATGTTCATGTGAATGATGTTTTAAATAAAAATCAATAGCATGGTGGCTGCCATTGTACCGCAACTATAGACAAGCTAAAAATAAGGAAAGAAGCAGCATGAAGAAGGGAAGTGAAAGATTTTATTTTTTTAAATTAGTTTAAATTTTATTAAAATGGAGGCATGGTTTAAAAAGTATTCATATGGTAACCAGTAGTCCCATTACTGAGTCTCAATAGATAGAACTTGAGACATTTTTAGGTGTTAGTTGTATTTTTCCCCTGACATTTAACTTCATCTTTCGAAATATTATGCACACAGTACAATCTATAGATCTACAAATTGTGAACGTTATTGACTTCCTCTTAGGGTAGATAAGGATTTTAATATAATTAAACTACTTTATTTCCTTCTTTCTCCCGTTAAATTTATATATTGGTTTAACGTTAAAATGTTTCTCAATATTTTCATTATTATAACTAGATAAAAGTAGTATGATTATATATTTTTTTCTTTAGAACATTTGTAATGTAACTTTGCAGTTTCCGTGAGCCTTTAGATAAGTCTTTCTAACTCTTCTACCACCTTTTAAAGTTCTTCTCAATAAAATATTTCTAATAACTTGCCTGACAATGTATCTGATCCTTTTTATTGCTAGCAATATTTTCCTACCTGTCTTTCATCTTCCTGCTTTGAGTCTACACTAGCACTGACTGCTTTCAAGGCCTTTTCAAGGTTGTCATACTGGAGACTCCATTCAGCGCTCTCTGATGTTAAATCTCCAATTTTTCAGATTGTACTTATTACTTATTTCTTCATTTTAAGGAAGCTACTTTTATAGGTTTCTTTAAAAATGGTATTTGACTTTAATACTCTTATGGGTGGTTCAAAATAACTGAGACACAGATGTTAAAATCACACATATTTTCTCACAGCACTTTATGAAATAAGGAGATATTAAAATAAAGAATTTGTTTAGCTAACTCTCAGAAAAGCAGAAGTCAAAATGTCACTTAACCTTTTATTGTTTTTAAGAATTAGTTAAATCAAAGATTTATAACAATATAATTATATTATCCTAAAAAGTATATAGATAAATAGACAGATAGATGATAGATAGATAGATAGATAGATAGATAGATGATAGATAGATAGATAGAGCAATTATTTTGGTGCAGCATGCCTAGTGTAAACTGTAAGATTAACTTTAAGAGAAAACTTTGAAACAATAGTGACCTAAAAAACACAAGATTATTTCTCTCCCATTCAAGAAATCCATCTTAGCACTATATCAAATAGATAACATAAGCAAACAAAATTAAACTAATTAAGGTAACATTTGATCACATTACTCTAATTTTACAGGTTTGTTAGAATATAAACTGGTGACAAAAATAACTGCAAAGAACTCAAAATATTCTTAGTGGGTTTGAGGATGGTGGTATTTATGTAGAAATTATCAGTTTATGTATGATATGGATATATTTAGGTTGGTAATTACAGTTTTTGCCATTGAATGTAATGGCAAAAATTGCAATTACATTTGCACCAACCTAATAGAAAATCAATGGGTTCTGATGCTTGAAATCAGGATTCGTACTGTGGGAGAAGGTTATGCAAATCAGGAGTGGGTGAAATTGAAGAACCCTGTGGTGTTGGGTTTCAACTAGAGATAACAACGTGAATGAATGCATGACTTTTAGAACAATATATTTATCATATATGTTCATTGGAAGTGCCTACAAGCGATAACCACAGTAGCAACCACATAAACACAGCTAGTGCAGATGGTGTTTTCTAAAAAATCTGCTTCCACTAATAGAAACCACTCACCTTGGAGAAATATCTAATTCCAAATACATTACATATAAATGATGAGGTGAGCCTAGGATATCTTATTATGCTTGAAAACAAGAGATGTTCAAATAATAATGAATTCTTGTCGAAACAACATGGATTTGATTTGAATGGGCTCCCACACTCAGCATCTAATTTGAGCATCGGAAAAAAAATAATGATGGTAATGACTTATACCACATCAAATAACAAGGAATTGATAAGTTTTACTGGCTATTCAAAAGGAAAGGGGTAGTAGGATTAGAAAGATTGCCATGTTGAAAACACCATGGTATTAATTGATTCCTGCAAGGCCCATCGGTGGTTAAATGGAAAGTTGATGGAGAAAAAAAAATTCAGAAAGCCTGAAAATATTACCACACAGATTATTTAATAATTACAGAGAGAACGGAAACTTTACAAAACACATTTGGCAGGCCTATGTTAAACAAGTCATCAAGCTCAGCATCACAAAATGTGATTTGCTGATATTGTATGGCTCATAGTTTAAGGCAATGTGAAGTATCATTCCTAGTATTGTCATCTGTGTTGTAGCATGACAAAAATGTTTAACCTGATTCAATTTATGTGAAAATATTCCAGATTGTAGAATATTCTACAAGAACAATTGCCATGACAGTTCAAAATATCAAAATTGTATAAAATGAAAAGAAAGTGGGGCTGTTTATTCTAGATCAAAGAAGATTAAACATGAAAACTAAATGTGATGTGTGATCTTTGGATGTTGGATAGTGAAAAAGTTAAGAAAAATTTTGAGATGAATAAATGAATTTGTGAGCTGTTTTAAAAATAATATTATCTAAATATTTATTGAGTGTGAGGATGTTACTGTCATTATACAGATGAATGTCCCAGTTTAGGAAGTGCATGATGAAATATTGAGAGATGAAGTGTCATGGTGCCTACTTCTTACTTTCAAATGTTTGAGCAGAAAAAAATTCTGTGTGTGTGTCTGTGTCTGTATGTGTGTATGTGTGTGTGTGTGTGTATTTCTTACCGAGTCCAGCTTGGTAAATTATGTTTTTCAAGAAATTTGCCTATATTAACTAGGTTGTCAAATTTATGAGCACACTATCTATTATTCTTTTAATAAAGTGATTAATATGGTATCCTTTTATTATCTTTTTTTTAAAGAAAAATCACTGGTGATACCCCATTTTCATTCCTAAGGCTACTATTCTAAGCTTTCCTTAATTTTTTCCTCATAATTAGTCTTGCTAATAGTTTATTAATAATTTCCAGGAATCAGAATTTGGCTTTGATTTTTCTCTACTCTGTGTCTGTTTTGTATTTTCATTGATTTCTGATAGTTTATATTTCTTTCTACTTGGGAATAATTTGCTGGATTTTCTTGTGGTTTAGTGACATGAAAGCATATACTATTCATTTCAATTTTTTTCTTTTTTAAAATATAATTGAAAACTAAAAACTTGTCTGATACCATGTCACTACATGCCAAAAGTTTGAATAAATTGTATTATCATTCAATTCACCTACATATAAGTTTTCTTTATGTCTTCTGTGACCCATACATTTTTGAAGTGTTTTGCTTAATCTCTTATTTATTTATTTTTTTTTTTTTTGAGATGGAGTCTCGCTCTGTCGCCCAGGCTGGAGTGCAGTGGCACGAACTCGGCTCACTGCAAGCTCCGCCTCCCGGGTTCACGCCATTCTCCTGCCTCAGCCGCCCGAGTAGCTGGGACTACAGGCACCCGCCACCACGCCTGGCTAATTTTTTGTATTTTTAGTAGAGACGGGGTTTCACCGTATTAGCCAGGATGGTCTTGATCTCCTGACCTCGTGATCCACCTGCTTCGGCCTCCCAAAGTGCTGGGATTACAGGCATGAGCCACTACTCCCCGCCTTGCTTAATTTCTTAATATTCTGGGATTATTCAATATACATTCAGTTTTGCTAAATACTCCTTCACTTAAAAAATATGTGTATTTCTTAGATGTTGGATACAGGGTTCTATATATGTCTATTAAGTCAATGCGGTGTGTTCTAAAGAAGAAATGTCAAAATCTTCAACTTTGATAGTTCCTTTTTAAAATATTTCCTTGTTTTTACTTCATAAATTTGGACGTTATATCATTAGGTACCTGCATATTTAATTTGCTATGCCTTCCTGAAAGATTGATCCTTTTATTATTATGAATTATCTCTCTTAATCTTTTCTAATACCTCTTGGTTTTAAATCTATTTTGTCTAGTAGGAATACAGCCAGACATTCTTCATTGTTGTTGATGATAGAATTGCATAGTACATTATATTTTATAATTTTATTTTTAAAGTATCTGTATCCTAAGATTTAAAGTGTATGTTTAAATTGTGCTAAAGCCAGCATATAATTGGGTTTTGTTATTGTCATTTAGATTAACAATCTTTTCTTTTTAATTGTAGTATACAGAGGATCCTGTGTTTGCCTCACAGATTTAGAATTTTCATTTTTTATTTTCATATGAATCTCTACTAAAATTGCCACATTTACATCCATTTTATTTGTCTTTTCCTCATTTGTCTTGAGTATGCTAATAATATATTAAACTCTTCATCCTCCAACACCAGTATCTGGATTGCCTATGAGTCTATTTGTATAATTCATGTTTTGTTTTTTAAATTATTGGTCAAATTTCTGTACTACTTCATATATCTATTAATTTTTGATTGTTTGCTAGACAATATTTTAAAAGAACCATTGTATGCTGCACAGATTGGGCCAAGTTTTTAGTTGTGTTGCAGTTTTAAAAAGATTCACATTCTTTCTGGTACTTTTGTGCGGTGTGGCCATTCCAGATTTTGATTAAAACTCTGGCTGATCTCTTTCTCCTCAGTGCTGAATAACTACAACTTAACTATATAACTATCAGCTTAACTCTTTAGTCTTCTTTCCTATGCAAATTGTAGCATGTGTATCAAGGAGGAGATTGGCTGTGTATTTGTGGTGGGCTTCCATTCTCTCGTATAACTGTTCTCTTATGCATTGTAGGGATGTGGGATATTTTACTCTCCTTTTATAAAACCTCTTACCTATCCCCGAGTCTCCACTTTCTTTAGCACATGTCCTGTGGGGAAAGCTTACTGACTGTTTGGAGTTCCTTTAGTTTCCCATGTCTCGGGTCAGGCTCATGAGATAAGCAATAGCTTTGTTGGATTCTCTTTTCCTCTGATAGAGGATGCCTACTAGGGCTTAGCTTGAGCCTCACCCATGCACCAAATTAATTAAGGCTTTACAGGCTGAAAGCAGCCAGTGATTATCAGCTACAGAAGGGTCTCCCTTGCCTGAGATTTTGGTTTATCACATTCTTGTTGTTTCCATAGATCTCTAATCTCTAAAATATGACTTTCCAAATGTATCTATTTCTTTCTAATAATTACACTAGGAAAATTGGTTTTCTGTTACTACATGTTACTTAGATATGGAAATGTTTTCTATTTATAGAATTTTTGTTAACCCTCTTACTTTGTTTTTTATGTTTATCATATATGTTAGTAATCCAAACTCTAGAATAATATATAGGAAATGAAATCATATCTATTACACTGTTTTTGTTTGCTTTGCTCAGCTTTGTTAGTGAAAAAATCATATTTATACATGTAGTTGTAGTACATTTTTAAATTTAGGATTCCATTTTGTAAATTTACCAAATTTTTAAAATATATTCTATTGATGATGAAAATGTAAAGAATTTCATAGTTAGCTAATGTGGAATTTTAAGTCAGCCAGGCTGGCTTCTTTCTTGTTGTTTTGCTATGTATCATTTTTATTATCAAAAATATCTCGAGGCTTCAGATGATTTCTCAGGATCCAGCCATTATATCCACATTCTGGGCAGCACAAAAGTTAGAAAGAAGGAGGCAGGCACACTCTTTTAAAGACATTTTCTAGAAGCTGTTCATGTTGTTTTCACTTGTTCCCAATGGTCAAAATTGAATCATTTGGTCACATCCAGGTACATGGGAGCTGGGATATGCAATTTTCATTTTAGGGAGTCATATGTTTAGGTAAAAACTTGAGCCTATTTTTATAGAAAATGTGGGGAGTGGCCATAAGGAGACAACTATCAGTTTCTACCACATTAGTAACAAACAATCTATAACAATGTTTCTATATATTATTTATGGTTAGTTTGTGTTTTCTAAGACCGGTTTTCAATTTACAAAGAAAAATCTGACATTTGCCATTGAGAAACTATTATGTTCATATTGATTAATGTATAATATATAGAGCTGCTAAAATATCAGCAATGTATGTGTTTTAGGCATTTTTGTTGTTGTCATAGTATATTATTTTTGGTGGCTGCCTTTATGATGATTATAGTGTATAAATGTGCTACTAAAAACAAAGCATTTTTTGACAAGGCTAAAGTAAATTCTGAAGAAAATAAATGATAGGAAATTCCAAAATTTATTTTCCACCAATAGTATCTGACATTTAAGAAACTGTATACTGTGAAGAAAAAAATGTAATCACATACATGATTTATAGTATTTTAAAACTAGCATTTTGTTGGGATTCTGAGCTGTAAGACTATCTCCATTTTTTGAAAAAAGTCATACTAATTATATATTGCATTTTAAATCATAATTTCAGTTACTTGACAGTTTGGATTTCACTAAGATGTCAATTACTCTAAATCGTAGTGTTTACACTCTACTTTTAGTGTAGAATAAATGTGTTTAGTATTACTGTGTTTTTGATAATTATGGGTCATAAAAGATTAAATTAACTTCTGGGTATTTATAATTCTGTGGAAACATAAGAATTTTAAAAGTTGCCTTTCAGTTACTCAGAATGTATCAGCATTAATATACTATATACATGTCCAAGGAAATCAGGAGGCTAACAGTAAAATAAATAATTGAAAGCAAACTACATTTGAGATTGATTTGAAGCACACGTTCAGTTCCTATTGCAGACCAGGTGTAACCTGTTACCATTAAGTCACAAAGACAGCTGGGTCTAGGTTGCAATGTGAACCTCTTGGGAATCAGAAGGAGGAGACAGGTGAGATAAATGCTTATCTATGACTTGTCTGCCTTCTTTCTCTAGCACTATTGGTTTGGATAGAAAGTAAGAACCTAGGCAAGGAAAGCAAGTTTAACTCTATGCAATCTGCTATATGGCAGGTATTGGAGGATGACTCTGCTCTTGCTGAAGTGGAAATTATAATTCTCATTTTTTCTGTGTATTCTCAGTCAATTGAAATTGGAAGTGATTATTAGTTCTGGAAGAATATAAAAATTAAAGATGAATCACAGAATAATGAGAGAATGAGAAACATCTGCCAGCAATAAAATGAAAAGAATTGATTAAAACATAAAAAAGGAGCTGAGGATGTGAGGTTCAGCACGAGTGTTTCTGGAATTAGAGCCTGAAGTCTGATGCAAGTTGTTAAACAAGGTTAATGCAATAGAAAGGAGCAGGGCTGAGTGTGTGCAGACACTCTTGTAAAGTAGCGCACATGAATTAAACAATTTAATTCTTGTCAAATACTATGAGCTAGGCATGATTACATTGCCACATTTTACAGATAAGAAAGCCAAATCACAGTGAAATTAAGTAATTTGTTCAAGGTCAAACAGGTAGTAATTGGTAGATCCAGTTGAACATAGATATTCTGGTTACAGAATCTGCAATCTCTACTGCCTCTTTAATGAAAGAATTAAAGGCAGATATCAGAGAAGCTGGGGTTATATTTTAATGTAAAAGAACATGGTATGCTTTGTTTCCTAGGAGAACCAGCCACAGAACTAGCTGAGGCATCTACTAGGGTGATGATTTAACTGTCAGTAGTTGGAGAGTTGGAACACTGCAGACAGATTGTGGAAGGGAAGAAGAAGTGACATCAAGATTAGGGCAGGAAAATCTGAAGTCCAGGGACAATTTGGATGAGGGCATGGAGGAGAGCAAAGAAGAAAGTACCTTCCTCATGCAGTGGATCAAAAATACGTATGGGCTTCTCATTTGTCAGAATTTTCATACCTTCAGAAGGTATGAAGGAACCAGTAAAGGATTGTTAGAGGGATCCCAAATAACAAAGAAGGAATGTTATTGGATAGACAATGTAAATTCTTTTTTCTCCTAAAGGATCAAAATATTACTTGGGCACTCATCTAAGGAACAGATTGATAACCAGGTTCAGAAAAAGACCACAGACCTCCTTACATCTTTCTGCACTACTAAAGCAAATGTAACTTGGAGTAATTTGTCAATATCATGAGTGAATTTTTCCCGCAGAGGATACGATGTGGCTGATTCCAATTTTGAAATGCAAGGGATCTCCCATGAAGCCACCTAATAACTGCAACTAGGAAAAAGGTAGCAGTATACCAGTATAATTCTCTGTAGACATCTAATGTTTGGAGAAGGTGACAGCGTAGTAGAGTGGAAAAGTACAGCCTTTTTGGAATCTTAAAGTTATAGTTTCTTTATCTGGTTAGTGCCTTCACTACTTTTTATTTTCTTTGATATTAAGGACACTTAAATTCTCAGAATCTGTTTTTATTTCCCATAAAATCTAGAGAAAAGTGTCAACTTGATAGTGTGTTTTGAGTGGTACATAACATGCTGTGTGTAAAATTTCTGTGCAGAGATTGACTCCATAATTACGAATCTTTTCTGATAGGCTTTGAAATTGTTTCAACAATTTCAGATTTCAAACATTTCTGATACATGTTATGTTCTGACTTATAGTAACGATTAGCGAAGCTCATGAAGAAAAGTGAAGTAGTCTATAATTTATGTTGCTTGTGGCACAAACCCAGCTGTTCTAACTCAAGGGGTTCTATGCACTGCCCAGGGCAGATGGGTGATTAAATCAGGGACTGAGCATCCTCTAGGATATGCCCTTGGCTTTGGCCACACCAGTGGATGAAGATAGCATTTCACCATCATGCCATGACCCAGCCTGTGGACAAGAAGAAAGCGATCTGGAAGATGGAGACCTCTCTTCTGCTCTCATTCCATGATCCGGGACTGAGTCACAAGACTGAAACAATAACAGTAATGTGGACCAGCTGGGGAGACAGGCACTCAGGAGAAAACCTGACCTATGAAAAAATGACATTGTACAAGCTATGATGAAGGGATGAACAAGCTGCAGTAGGAACATGGATGAAGGAGCAACTAAGTCCGCATTTTGAAGTAAGGAATATCTTTTCTCAGCCCTCATCTTTACTGATTTCTATTAGAATTTCACAATGACAAGTTAAAATATACTTTCCTTTTATTGATTCATATGACAATGTGCTTTTCTCTGTGAAATTTAAAATATCTGTGGTATTCTTGATATTTCAAAAAAATCTCACTCCCTGTATGATATGATTTGGCTGTGTCTCCACCCAAATCTCACCTTGAATTGTAACAATCCCCACCTGTTGAAGGTAGGGCCAGGTGGAAGTTATTGAATCATGGGAGGGGGTGGGGGGCAGGCGGTTCCTCCATACTGTTCTGGTAGTGAATAAGTCTCACGAGATCTGATGGTTCTATAAACGGGAGTTCGCCTGCAAACGCTCTCTTGCCTGCTGCCGTGTAAGATGGGTATTGCTTCTCCTTCATCTTCCACCATGAGTCTGAGGCCTTCCAAGCCATCTGGAACTGTGAGTCAATTAAACCTCTTTCCTCTTTAAATAACCCAGTCTTGGGTATGTCGTTATTGGCACCGTGAAAACAGATGAATACGCTACATTTTGATGTTTCCTCAGGGTATGGTCTTGGGTCTAGGATGTTGAAATAATTATAATGGTAGAAGTGTGTTCTTCAAGTCATTTAATTGAATTGAGACTTACTTGAATATACCACCTCCCTCATTTCTTCATTTAAAAAATGGTAATTAATTAAAAGCAGAGGTTTGAAATTAATAGAATTGAAGATAAAAAGGAAGAGAGTGATGAAGTGGGTAGCCTTAAGCCCTGGGGAAAACAAAGAAGCTGGCTCGATGCTATGAAAATAGGGGATCTGGATTGAGAAGAGGGAGAAGTCAGGTTGCTACAGTGTGTTTCAAAATGGAGTTTTGACCAGGTGCAGTGGCTCATTTCTGTAATCCCAGCACTTTGGGAGGCCAAGGTGGGAGGATCACCTGAGGTCAGGAGTTCCAGACCATCCTGGCCGATATAGTGAAACCCTATCTCTACTAAGAAAAAAATATATACAAAAATTAGCCAGGTGTGGTCGCCTCTGCCTGTAGTCCAAGCTACTTGGGAGGCTGGGGCAGGAGAACTGCTTGAACCCAGGAGGTGGAGGCCAAGATCATGCCATTAGACTTCAGCTTGGACAACAGAGAGGAACTTCGTCTCAAAAAAAAAAAAAAAAAAAAGAAAAGAAAAAATAAGAGTTTTCCTGGACATATGTCCGGTGGAATAACCTCTCTAAAGGGCAACACTTACTAGAAGTCCTCTTTTAGAACCTTTGGAGTTCCTGCCTTCCCTCCTCCCCACTCTGACTAACCATGGCTAACAGGAGCTAAGACTGTTAAATTAATAGAAGTTATTCTTTCTTTCCCAGTTGAACTGTCAAGGTGTTTTGTGTGTCTTGGTTCCTAATTCCACCAAGAAGCTATCAGTACTACATTTAACAAATGTTAAAGGACACCAGGTATCAGCCCCAAGAATGTGTTAGTGCTGGAGGTGGAAAGATGAATAGAAGAGTGTTCATAGTCTAGCGGCGTGGACAAACAGTGAAAACAAATTCTCATGAGAGATGTTCATTTAAGCCACTTTAAGTCACGTATCAAGCGGTGGAGCAATGGTTTGTATGGGGGCGGGGAGGAAGAGCACACTCAGATGCTGTTGGTGGAAGTGGTGAAGGGATGGAATTCTGGGCCCTTACCCACTCCGGCCCCCCTCCCACATCTTCTTTCCACGAGTTTTAATCACAGCATACCTTTGACCAGTTTGCATAGTCAAATTTTCTATCGATTTTGTTTGAATTCTTCGGCCAGAATTCAATAGGTAATAAAAAAGGGAGATCCCATTGTTCAAGAATATTTACTATATATACAGTTTGAGTGCTTCAGGAGAATTCAATAGGCAATAAAAATGAAAAATCTCATTGTTCCAAGATAACACAACTATAAGAAGCTATTGATCCTACCTAGGTGTTATGAATGTAAATCATGAAATTTTTTTTTGGCTAATTCTATATTTTCACAAAAATGTTCATGATTATGAAAAACAATATATTTTCATCATTATAAAATATATCTAATGACTAAATATGAATGCAAAATACCAGCCAACATTCCCAGAAAAAGAACTAAATACTGAATCATTAATCTTGTACTAAGACTTCTCTGTGATATTTCAGTTTTCTGGGAAAGACTTTTACTAATATACTCTCACAGTAAAATAGAGTATTAACACATTGTCCTAAAAATCCATATTGTAGATTTACCTCTCATATTGCATGGTATAATAACCACATTTTAAAAGTCAGAAATATTACTGCAATAGCCAGAAACTCCAGACCAGCCTGGAAAACTTAGACTTCATCCCTACAAAATTAAAAACATTAGCTAGGTGTGGTGGAACTTGCCAGCAGTCCTAGCTACTTGGGAGGCTGTGGTGGGAGAATCTTTTAAGCCTAGGAGTTCAAGGTTGCAGTGAGCTATCATCATACCACTGCACTGTAGCTTGGGTGACAAAGTGAGACCTTATCTCTATAAAAAAATTTTTTTAAAAAATAATGCTGCAATAGTAATTATGGATGCTAATTTTTAATGTGTACTCTTTTTTTTAATTTTTACTTTTTTGAGATGAAGTCTCACTTTGTTGCCAGGCTGGAGTACAGTGGTGCAATCTCGACTCACTGCAACCTCTGCCTCCCAGGTTCAAGAGATTCTCCTGCTTCAGCCTCCTGAGTAGCTGGGATTACAGGCACCCGCCACCATGCCCAGCTAATTTTTGTATTTTTAGTAGTTGGGGTTTCACCATGTTGGCCAGGATGGTCTCGATCTCTTGACCTCATGATCCGCCTGCCTCTGCCTCCTAAAGTGCTGGGATTATAGGCATGAGCCACCGTGCCCGGCCTCTTTTTGTTTTTCTATTACTTTTTTTTTTCTTGAAAATGGATGGGCTCATTGGTTCATTTAATGCATATGCTAAAAGACAATACAATGCATTGTCCATGTCTAGAGTGCCCCTTAAATGTGTATGTAATGCTGACACAGTCAAAACCATTTAAACACATTAGAGGCAGACACAACAGAAAGGTCACTGGTTTTGCATCTACAGATCCATATTTGTGCATGTTGCTAGGCAGTGGAAGAAAATCACAGTCCCAAAGCTCTTTTCCTCACATCCATTATTAAAACATAAAACAAAACCAAGTATTTGCAGTGATGTAATTTTACATAACCAATTTTGAAATGCTGTTAAACTCTAATACCTATCTTAGACAATAAAAAATTAATTTACCCCACTTATCAAGTGTGAGGTTTTGTTTCATATTATCATTGTGAAACAATTTCAGATCTTTTATTATAATTATTATATTTAGAACATAAAATTATTCCTTTAAAAGTCCTGAATATTATTCAATAGTCTCTTGGTATTTGCAGATTTACTATTTGGGGCTTCAATTTTTCATGAGTGATATTGTTTATTATCTGTATTCGTAAGTGTTTCGAGGCACGTATTTGAGAGTGACCTTAGCTGACCACCAGGCATACTCATTACATGTGCCTGATTTCTCTCTACACAGGTGCTCTTTCTTCTGAATCTAAAAAAAAAAAAAAAAAAAACCCTCCAAAACAGAAAAAAAAAAACCCTTTGTTTCTTTGTTAAAATTATCCGCCCCCCCCCGCCAACACATACACATAATTCCAGCTCCAATGGTGGAAAAAGTAATGCAATTTAGCTTAAACATTTCTAAAAACAAAAGCTCTGGGTGATGGTCTCTCTTTGAGATTGTGGGTTTTCTGAGTCTTCAGGAAGCACCTGCCCCTAATGTCAAGTATTTCCTTTTGACATTATGTACCATTCATTTGGATATCTGTAGGGAGTAATATATCTGACTGATTTTTTTTTAAATGAAAGCTATTAATGTGTATTTTCTATCTGTTGTGAAGCTGCCTTCTTCTGGAACTCTTTGCAGGGTGTTTGTTTTAGTCCTTTTCCAACCTTCTGCCTGTGCCTAGGCTGGGATCTCCTGCCTTCTGTTTCCTTTACCTCCAGTACATCCTTGAGTGAACACCATCATACAGTGTTAATGTTATAGCTGCATATTGGTCTCTCCGAGACCATGTATTTCAACATGACACAGCCCTTACCTGCACGCTGCTTGTGACATCCCAGAGATTCTCACAGTGCCCAGAATACAGCAGGGACTTAGCAACTCTGTACTGAAGCAAGTATAGGCAGATAGTTAAGAGCATGAATTCTGGAGCCACAATGCTTGGGTTGGAGTCCAGGTTTTAGTGCTTGTGAACTATGAAACCCTTCAGAACCTCCACATGGGACCCCAAGGCTTAACTGCGGCTTGACTCCAGGGGGCACCATTTATATAACCCAAAAGGTAAATGGTCAACACTAGAGTCTTCATTACTGATGATCTTGGCGGGTTATTTAGTCTCCATAGGTCTTGATTTTCTCATTTTTTAAATAAGAATAGTTATTTCTACTTCCAATGGCTATGATGATTAAGAGCTAATATATATCAAGTGCTTAGAACACTGCCTTCTATGGAGTAAGCACTCAATGCTATTAAATATTTTTCTGTTTTTGAATTAATTTTATTAAATGAGATTTGAAGCAGTCACAACTGTTGCCTAGCATTCCATTCAATGGATAAAGCACTTTTTAAATTCTCTTACTGAGTAATCATTAGGTTTTGTCCATTTTTTAAGTTTCTGATTATTGCCAAACGAAGAGAGAAAACATTATAACATGTCTCCATGAGCATATGCTCAATCTCCAGGACAGAGCCCTAGAAGTGGAATTTGTAGGTCTAAAGATATGCACTCTAAAAATCTTACCAGAAAAAGACTAATTGCTCTCTGGGGTGTTTGCATCAACTTATACTGACCAATATACTACTGGTGTATATTTTCCCATTCCTCAAATCTTCATTAACACTTTATTTAATTTTTGCTGAGCTGATAGATGTAAAATATTTTACTGTTCCTTTAGTAGTTTTCTACAGCAGTCATAACAAATTACCACACATTTAGTGGCTTAAAATAACAAGCATTTCTACACTTCAGCATGGGCGATAGAGCAAGACTCTGTCTCGAAAAAAAAAGAAAAGAAAAGAAAAAATAACAAGCATTTATTTTCTATAGCTCTGTAGGTCAGAAGACTGGGTATAGTGTGTTGTTCAGCTGGGTCCTGCATTCAGAATCACACAAGGGCAAAATGGAGGCGTTTACAGGTGTATGTATGTTTCTGGAAGCTCATTCAGGTTATTGGTTGAATTCAAATTCTTCTGGCAGCCTGTGGTAGTCTTTGCTACTAGAAGTTGCCTGTAATTTTTCTCATTCTTTCCATATGGTTCTCCTCTAGCAATGGTGGTTCAAGGCCCTCTCACACTTTGAGCTTCTCAAACTTCACGTATCTTCTTTCTATCATTCTAGCTGGAGAAAGTTCTCTGGTTTTAAGGTTTCGTTTATTAAGGTTGGGCACACCTGTATAATCCAGGCTATAATCTCCCTATTTTGAGGTACAAAATCTTAATCAATCTGCAAAATCATTTTTTCCATGTAGGGTAACATAGTCACAATTTTTAGGGACTGGGGCCTGGGCATCTTTGGGAGTCTGTTCTACTGAGAATGATTCTTTTAATTTTAATTTGCTGATTATTATTGAGGGTGAGCATATTTTCTAGGTCAGTTGGCCATATTGATCTTTTATGCTTTAAATTTTATTTTCATATACTTTTTTTCCAATTTCCTATTGGAAGATTTATCTTTTAAAGTTGATTTTTATTGTTTATTATATATTGTGGCTAATTATTTTTCAGAAATGTACACTGAAAATATTTTAAAACCATAGCTTAATTTTTAAATGAGTTTTTTTCCCCATAAGTTATTGGGGTACAGGTGGTATTTGGTTACATGAGTAGGTTCTTTAGTGGTGATTTGTAAGATTTTGGTGCACATATCACCTGAGCAGTATACACTGCACCCTATTTGCAGTCTTTTATCCCTTGCCCCGCTCCCATCCTTCCCCGCAAGTCCCCAGAGTCCTTTGTATCATTCTTATGCCTTTGTGTCCTCATTGCTTAGCTCCCACATATCAGTGAGAACATTCGGTGTTTGTTTTTCCATTCCTGAGTTACTTCACTTAGAATAATAATCTCCAATCTCATCCATGTTGCTGCAAATGCTATTAATTCATTCATTTTTATGTCTGAGTAGTATTGCGTTGCATATATATACCACAGTTTCTTTATCCATTCATTGATTGATGGGCATTTGGGTTGGTTCCACGATTTTGCAATTGTGAATTGTGCTGCTATAAACATGCGTGTGCAGGTATCTTTTTCGTATAATAACTTCATCTCCTCTGGGTAGACACCCAGTAGTGGAAATGCCAGATCAAATGGTAGTTCTACTTGTAGTTTTTTAGGAATGTCCACGCTGTTTTCCACAGTGGTTGTACTAGTTTACGTTCCCACCAGCACTGTAGGAGAGTTTCCGGTTCACCACATCCATGCTAACGTCTATCTTTTTTTAAATTTTTTTGATTATGACCATTCTTGCAGGAGTAAGATGGATCACATTGTGGTTTTGATTTGCATTTACCTGATCATTAGTGATATTGAGCATTTTTTAATATGTTTGTTGATAATTTGTATATCTTCTTTGAGAATTGTCTATTCATGTCCTTAGCCCACTTTTTGATGGGATTGTTTTTTTCTATGTGCCTTGATGATCATCATGTACAGTATCTTCCAGGCCTTCTCTGAATTTCTTGTATCTGGATGTCTACCTCTCTAGCAAGATGAGGGAAATTTTCCTGTCTTTTTTGCAGTTGTTCAATGTCTACAATAAACACTGAGTCTTTGAAAAAATTTCCAAGGCAACTCTCAAAACTGGTCCTCAATAACCTACTCCTAAAGACCCCAAATCTGGAAATAGCCTGTATGTTTCTGATTTGTTGGTTTGGCTTGGCAGTATCACCCTCATGTATATTTTAAGTATCTTCCAAGCTGTTGAGTAGGGCTGTTTTATTTTGCTAATTATTTGGTGGACAATAATTCACATCAAAGCTGAAACCAGAGCTTTTCCTGAGCAGAAACATTAGGGTGATGACACTTTTTAATGATTTCTTGAGCTGCAAAAGCTCAAGGATATTATTTAAACAATTTATGTCCAATTTTATGTGAGCTGCACACATCCATTGTCCTATTGAATAGTCACACTAATAAAAAGCACATACTACTATAGCTCAGCCTTCAACTTTATGAGGATGCTTTTCTTAACATTTTTAGTTTAATTTTTTAATGGCTTATAATTAATAGCCCAAGAGGGAAAAGTTAAAACTTGGATGTGAAACAAACCATTTTTTATTTGCTGTACTTTAGATAACCTCAGCCCTCAAGAGAAAACATTTATGATATCCATCCTCCTCACATATTCTGTTTATCCTTTATGCAAATTATCTGATCATAAAGCGTTCCACGGGGTTGTTAGTTATGCATGTTTTAGGACACTATTAATGCATCTTTGCACATCTAAAATGATACATTGGCAAAACAATGAATTAACTACTATGTATTTTACAAACTGAAACTAATTGTTTAACTGAATGGATTAGGTAGAATCTGCTAGACTTCTGAGAACACATGTTGAATTGTTTTCATGCCTTTCTAATTTTATTATAATAAATTTTCTGCAAATGAATGGCTTTCAAACAGAGCATCTTAATTTATAGGCAATTATGAGGATGTCCAGTTTCCCAAGATATATTTTAGAACAAAAAAGACTAACTGGATAAATTATTGCACTTTTTATGATGCACATTTTTGTCAGTCACATTAATATAAAACTAGTTTGGAGACTTGTGAATCATTTAAAATTTTATCTAAAAAGTTTTCTATCACTATAGTCATTATGAAGGTTTGACCTTTTCTACCCCTGCCTCTTGTGACTGTAGCTAAGGGAGGAAATAATGAATTTCAGTTCATCTCTTACATTGCTATTATGCGGCTTTTAGTGTTGCTCACAGATGGATCTGTCTTGAATTTTGCAGCAGTGAAATCCATTATGGTTGTCCCCATAAGAATACAATTTTAGCTTCTACTAAGTTTTCTCAGTAATATTCCTGCTAAATTTGAATATATTCAACTTGAGCATTCTTACATATGAAAAAGTCTTAATATTTATTAATATCTATTGCATACTTTTAAGGAAATAGATATATTTTAAGTTTTTTATGCTACTAGTTATCACATACTCTGTTTGCCAAACTTCCTGGCATGTTCAACTTTATGTACTGTTGTTGCTTGTTTTATTTATTGCAGAGATCAAACTGCAGTAACAAATGGCCATGATGCATAGCGTTGCAAATGTTTCTCTTATGTACTAATTCAAAGCCAACTAGGTGGTGCAGGGTGAAATAGTTAGCTCAGTTCTATGTGATCATTCAGAAACCCGGCTGCTTCTCTCTTCTTGCTCTTCCATTCCCTAGGATCTTGTCTCTTTTTCACAATCTAGCTTACACAAGAAGAAAGAGTAAAATGGGAGGCAAGCAATTTCTCAAGGGAAAAGGGAAGATTGGACTTGGGGGTATCGATTGTCAGCCCACTGTCTTCTCTTTTGAGGGATATCAGGTTCATTTTATTATATCCAGTTACAATACTTATTCTCGAATAAAAATTATATTCAAATTTATTGTCTTCAAGATTGTTTTACATTAAATGTATACTAAGTAATTGGAATATAAAATTGCACTGTGGTTAAACACCCATTTTATGAGTGTATCTAATAAGAAATTTATGGCAAACATAATACAGATTTTTCTGTCAGGAACTTAATGGAATTAACATCTCCGTTTAACTTCATTGATTTAAAGTATTTGTATCCTTTAGCAGGATTACAGGAACTGTTTAATGTTCTTGAACTTAAAATGATGGTATTCAGATTTCTGCCACCATATCCTTGCAGCATTCCTCATAAATATGAGTCAAACATAATTATTGTTACATCACAAATGCATTTGTTAATTTATATATATATATATATAAACAGGTATAATATAAACCTTGAAGAAAGTATTAAAACTCTTTGAGTCTTAATTTCCTTATCTTGGTATGAAGGGGTTAGATTGGATCATTACTAACAAGCTCCTATTTCCATTAATATAATTATGTATGACTATCACTTTTTTAAGATCCTCTTATAAAACATCTTGTTGAATTTAGAAGATATAAAGATGATTTATATACAGTCTTGCTTCCTGAGGAGCTTATTGTCTTTGTGTAGTGAGCATTAACATCCAAGTAGAATTATTGATATATGAAATAAGTGCCACAAGAGAAATGTATGCTTTCAATTTTTTGAAAAGTCTTTAAAGAAGAACATTACTATATAAAAATGACACATTAGGCCAGGCGCAGTGGCTCACGGCTGTAATCCCAGCACTTTGAGAGGCTGAGGTGGGTGGATCATCTGAGGTTGGCAGTTGAGACCACCCAGATCAACATGGAGAAACCCCATCTCTACCAAAAATACAAAATTAACTGTGCATAGTGGCGCACTCCTGCAATCCCAACTACTCGGGAGGCTGAGGCAGGAGAATCGCTTGAACCTGGGAGGTGGAGGTTGCAGTGAGCCAAGATCATGCCATTGCACTCCAGCCTGGGCAACAAGAACAAAACTCTATCTCAAAAAAAAAAAAAAATAAGTTACTGTAATTTGTATCAACTTACAGCTTACATTATTCTAACTCCAACCAATGTCACGACCTCTCTGTGTTTCCAAATATTGCCCATTCTCTTTTCTCATGCATCCTAGTTGCTTCTTTTTCAGGTCCCTACTTCCCAAGAAATTCTTCTTACATCCTAACACTTCCAAGTGCACACAAGACAAAATGTTTTTTCCTAGAAAAATAAAGTCCAGGATCCTTAAATTTGCACTTGTAAATTGCTGTATGTTTCCCTATACCTTTTCAACATTAATTCTCATTATTTTTCTATACAAATTTTTACTGTAAATTGATGAGTATATTTATTATCCAGCTACACAAATGTAAATTGCTCCCTTAAAATTTGATTGCCTAACAATTTTCTTTTTTTTCTTTTTTTTAATTATACTTTAAGTTTTAGGGTACATGTACGCAACGTGCATGTTAGTTACATATGTATACATGTGCCATGTTGGTGTGCTGCACCCATTAACTCGTCATTTAACATTAGGTATATCTCCAAATGCTATCCCTCCCCCCTCCCCCCACCCCACAACAGGCCCCGGTGTGTGATGTTCCCCTTCCTGTGTCCATGTGTTCTCATTGTTCAATTCCCACCTATGGGTGAGAACATGTGGTGTTTGGTTTTTTTTCTTTGTGATAGTTTGCTGAGAATAATGGTTTCCAGCTTCATCCATGTCCCTACAAAGGACATGAACTCATCATTTTTTATGGCTGCATAGTATTCCATGGTGTACATGTGCCACGTTTTCTTAATCCAGTCTATCATTGTTGGACATTTGGGTTGGTTCCAAGTCTTTGACACATGCACACGTATGTATGTTGTGGCACTATTCACAATAACAATTTTCTTTTTTTTTAATTTTTTTTTTTAAATTATTCTCAGTAAACTATCGCAAGAACAAAAAACCAATTTTCTTTTTTTAAAAAAACTTTTAAGTTCAGGGGTACATGTGGAGGTTTGTTATATGGGTAAGCTTGTTTCACAGCTGTTTGTTGTGCAGATTATTTCATCACCCAGGTATGAAGCCTAGAACCCACTAGGTTATTTTTCCTGATCCTCTCCCTCCTCCCACCCTTCACCCTCCACCCTCCGATAGGCCCAGGTGTGCATTGTTCCCATCTATGTGTCCATGTGTTCTCACCATTTAGCTCCCACTTAAAAGTGAGAACCTGTGGTTTTTTATTTCTTTATTTTATCTTTCAAGATGACTGTGGCATAAAATAACACAGGGAAGCACTCATCACCAACTCATCAAACATTATGAGCAATATCTTGTTTGTCTTTTTTTTTTTTTTTTGACAGAATTTCCCTCTGTCACCCAGGCTGGAGTACAGTGGCAGGATCTCAGCTCACTGCAACCTCTGCCCCACCCCAGGTTCAAGCGATTCTCGTGCCTCAGCCTCTCAAGTAGTTGGGTCCATAGGCACATGCCACCATGCTGGGCTCATTTTTGTATTTTTGGTAGAGATGGGGTTTTGCCATGTTGGCCAGGCTGGTGTCCAACTCCTGACCTCAAGTGATCTGCCCGCCTTGGCCTCCCAAAATCCTGGGATTACAGTAGTGAACCACTGTGCCCAGCTGCTTGTCTTATTCTTGAAACATAATCTAGACACAAATATAATCAGGGGTTAAAAATTTGAGCATACAATTAATACCAGATGTCGAGAAGGATAAAAGTGTACAGCACAAAGATGTTTTCTTGCCATGTCAGTCAGCCAAATAAGATCATTGTGTTTGCTGCCTCTTGATCCTCATGGAGACATTAATTCAGATCCAAACTGGATCTTCCCTGGGATGAATAAATTTTGACACCTAAATATACTTAGTATTCCAAGATCAGAGAAAAGTATCTTCCATTGAATCCACTGATTCACTGGAAGGACAAGTGACTAGAACTCTGGCCATAAGACTTATCCCCCTTAACTAGAGGTCATGGAAGGGAATGGCTTGATTACACCTGTCTTACTTCAAATAATTAAATGCAAACTTGCCAATATAGAACCTACCAAATATTACAAAGCATGAGAGCTAGGAAGCATAAATACAAACCACTTTTGAAAAAGACTACTTTTGAAAATAGACTTTAGAAATCATTGAATTTTGAGATGTCAAACATTAGGAAAGTTGTCTTAATAAAAAAATAGCTAAAAAATACAATTTTAGATGAGAATGCAGATTTTTAGGCTGAGAGAAAAACACAATATATGAAATAGGGTCATATCATGAGCAAACCATAATAAAGTAGAGTTATATGTTATATTTGAATAATTAAAAAATAGAAAATAATGAAGATGGTATATAAGGAGCACAGAACATAGAAAATCAGAAGATAACTTTTGGGGAAGATTAAGAACACATATAAGGGAAGAAATAATTGCAAATACAGATCTAATTATAACTTTCTTATGATGAAATCCCATTTTGCATAGTCAGTATGAAAGTACCCAACACATGATATTAAAATAAGTAAAACTGAGCCCATCTTAAACATATTCTAGGAATTTTTGCATATCATATTTCAAAAACGTATTTATGTGAAGAACATTTTTCTTATGAAAACGAGTCAAAATGCTTGGATATATACATTTTTTTTTTGTCACAACACCAACACGTAAGAACTATGGCACAGTGGTCAAGAAAAATTTGAGACAAAATCTATGGCACCAAAAATTTATAGGAAACTCTGTAGATGACGTGTAGAGGCAAACAAAACTTTTTTCTCTGCTTTAAAGAAGTTCTTATAACATATCATTCATATACCCTACCCCGCAAAAAATTATTGAAGTCTACCGGATGTGCAAATGAAAGTAGAAAGTCAAGAATGAGGAAGTAGTGCTACAAGGGAGTCAAAACAATTATTGAAGCTCGCTAAACATCTTGTCTGATCTAAATAATAATAAGTATCAATTGATAGTACCCAATTGACTGAAAATATTTTACACAATTCTCAAATTATTTTGTAAAAATAGTAATAATAACAATAAGAATATGTGACTAGAATCTCAAGTCACATAAATAATTGTTTTAAATGGTGGAAGAGTTAAATATAAGACTCCAATAATTCTATCCCCTTATCAGGAGGTACACAATCAATACCTTTTTTTTTATCCTTGACATTGATAAATTCTAACACCTAATAAACTTGAATATTTTATTACATCAGCATCAGAATATATCCTTTTATTAAACTCTTCAATAACTCTTTAGGGGAACCACCTGTTTTCTATCTAGCAGAAGGCAGGGAAAAAGCAGATGGCTCCTCTAAGGAGTTATTGAAGAGTTTAATGAAAGGGTGTTCATAATCATTTGGGCAGAATTAACTGAACCATCAAAAAATGGTGTGGTACCAAGGATGAGTAGCAGCAGGAAACTGTTATCACCACTAAGCCTGAAGGGGCCAGGAACAGAATTGGTTGGCCAATATCCCTGAGTCCTGTAGAAGAGGGTGTCTGACGGCAGATATGAAGGAACTTCACCAAGAAGTTCCTCAGTTTCTCTCCTGACTCCCATTGGCCAAACTAAAGTGGAACCCAGGAGCAAGATGGTTCGGGAGATGCAATCTCAAAGTGCAGCCTCCTGGGGCAGAGTTCAGGGTAAAGTAGGGTAGACAGGAGATCCATGGGGACATTGAACAAATAGAGTACAACACAATGAGGACTTTAAAAGTCAGTTGAAAGTCTAATAAACCTCGGTATCAGTATAAAGATATTCAAAAAATTTAAAAAGATGCGAAAGGGTGTGGCCATTTCTATTTCTCTAAATAAATTTTATTGTGTGTATTTGAGGTTTATTACATGTTATAGGATACAAATAGATAGTAAAATGGCTACTATAGTGAACAAATGAGCATATCCATAATCTCACCAGGTTTGGTGTGTGTGACAAGAGCAGCTAAAATCTACATATTTGCGACTTTATGTGCTTTGAACTACATTTCCACATTTCCTCTCTCCCACCACCGTTTTATTCTCTGTGTATATTTGTCCTTTTAAAAAAAGATTCCGGCCGGGCGCGGTGGCTCGCGCCTGTAATCCCAGCACTTTGGGAGGCCGAGGCGGGCGGATCACGAGGTCAGGAGATCGAGACCATCCCGGCTAAAACGGTGAAACCCCGTCTCTACTAAAAATACAAAAAATTAGCCGGGCATGGTGGCGGGCGCCTGTAGTCCCAGCTGCTCGGGAGGCTGAGGCAGGAGAATGGCGTGAACCCGGGAGGCGGAGCTTGCAGTGAGCCGAGATCCCGCCACTGCACTCCAGCCTGGGCGACAGAGCGAGACTCCGTCTCAAAAAAAAAAAAGATTCCATATGTAAGTGAAATCATGCAATAGTTTTCTATCTGTGTTTGACACATTTCACTTAGCACAATGTTCTTCACGTCCACCCATATTGTGGCAAATGGCAGAATGTCCTTTTCTATGGCTGAATGAGAAGCTATTTCTGTTTAGGGGAACTAGTTTGGTTTGCTCTCAGTATTAAGATAAAATGATGCAAAATTGGTTTTTTGAGATACATTGTTTCTGGTGGTCATCCTAACATGTGCGCTTTAGTCAGTCCGCATCACAAGTGACTCACGAAAGAGACCGGGGACAAAGATCTATACTATAAAATATTCTACAACTGATACTGAGTTCATAAATTCATAATTTAAAAAACTTAGGATTTAATTATTCTATTTATATTTTGTGCCTAGACAAGGGATTTTGGACTCCCATTTGGAAACCAACTGGTGAAATCATAATGCAAACAGGTTTGGAATATTGATGTGGTTTGGGTCTATGTCCCTGCCCAAATCTCATGTCAAATTGTAATCCCCAATGTTGGAGGTTGGGGCTGGTGGGAAGTGATTGGATCATGAGGGTGATTTTTCCCTTTGGTGCTGCTCTCATGGTAATAAGTGAGTTATTGTGAGATCTGTTTGATTAAAAGCGTGTAACTCCTTCACCCCCTCCTTTTCTTCCTGCTGCAGCCATGTAAGACCTGCCGGCTTCCCCTTCATTTTCCGTCATGATTGAAAGTTTCCTGAGGACTCCCAGCCTTGTTTCTTGTACAGCCTGTGAAACCATGAGCCAATTAAACCTCTTTTCTTTATAAATTGTTTATAAATTTTAAAATACCCAGTCTCAGATATTTATAGCAGTGCAAAAACAGACAAATATAGATAACTAGGCTTTGATTTACACTACCATCTGCTCTGGGGCAACTTTGAGCTAGTGATTAGGAGAGGCCATTTATACTTTTAGGTAAGAACATATTAGGGATGTTGCATGGGGTATGTTACTAAACTGGAATAAAAGAAGATAATAGTAAAGGACATAAACTCTATCACATTAAAAACAAAGAGGCAGCAGAATTTCCACGTCATCTTGTCATGCTTAAAAACAAAGCAATGTAACAGCTGGGTAAATATGTATAATAACCATGACTCCAAATTTGTATGTTTACAAGAGTTAATAGAAATGGTAGAGAAAAAAGCAAGCTTCCTCTACCTTCCCAAAAAGAGAAAGGACATAAATGCAATTTGCAGGAGAAACACTACCAAATAATAAACTTAGAAAAATATTCAAATGTAGTAATAATAGAAAAGGAAAACCAAAAAGGATGAGATTTTTCTCTAACATTTGAAGTCATTAAAAATAGATTTTTTCCCTTCAATATTTCTAAAGGTGACGAGAGCTGCTAATGGAGCTAATACCTCAGTGCTTATGGAGTTACAAGTTTATCATTGCTCGAAAGCAATTTCTCAACAAATGCTTATGAAATTTTACTTCATTTTGATAAGTAATTTTAGATGGTAATTACTGTTTTAGAAAACAGCCCCAAGAACAGTAATTACAACAAAGATTTTGCATGCTGAAATGTTCATCACAGTGTTCTCTATAGTAGTTAAAAACTAAATATAATTCAGATTCCTAAAAATGGGCAGATATAAATGATCTTTATATGAGGAACTATGCCACATCCTTTAAAATGTTGGTTTTGTAAATTTCAGTATAATAGGAAATCGTTTGTGATAGTGTTTATATAAATGTAAGACATAAACTTGTGTAAACAATGTATAATTATATACCCATAGACACATATATAAATGTACATGTACACATAATATATCTTATATGTATTTCATACATCTTTTTATGAAGACTGGAAAGTATATAAAAATGTTAATTCTATATTATATATTTGTTTGGATGGAATAAATTATTGCAAGTACTCTTCTATCATTCTGCAAAATTCAGCCAATACGGCTAGCTAGATTTCTTTTTCTTCAATATTTTTTGAAAACACATGACTTAAATTCTGTGGTACGTTGAGCAGAATAAGGTGATCTCATATGTTTATTAGAACAGATGCCGTATGCTCATCCACTTGGTTGCTATAGAAGTTTCCAAATCTGCTATTGTCAAGAATTTGCATTTGTCAGTTTTGTGACACTAAAAAAATAACCTTTGGATGTTATAAATTTAAATTTTTAGGAAGTGTACTGGACTGTATTTTTTCTTAGATTAAAAGCGTATATTTCTGAAGATGCAGGCTGCATGACTGAAAACATAACTCAGAAATGTGACATTTGGTTTAAAAAAGGAGAGAGAAAAAAAATCTGTGGAACTCAATCAAGTTTGCATATGCTGCTGTCTAGATAGTGTGGATGCTCAATTGCCAAATATAGATTAGGAGATATAAATGGGATTTTTTTTTTTTCCTTCTGAAAACAGTATACTTCTATACATGGTACTTAAGGGAAAAAGATATACAGATCTTCTGCAACTGTTAAGAGTGAAGGGATTGAATTTTTTTTTCGGGGAAATATATTTTGACTTACTAAGTTGATTAACTTTCTAAAATGTCCAGGAGTTAGGTTAATCTAGTATATTATCAAGTGTATTCCATTGGTTGCTGTTAGATGCTCTATTTGAAAAACAGAGAGGGCATTGTTATTTGTAAGTTCGGGTAATATAGGTCAAACAAAGCTTTTTTTATTTTTTAACTGTGGGACTTCTCAGTGTTTGTAATAAGTAATTGCTAATGTTTTTCAGTACTTGCTGTGAGTTAGGGCACTATGTTAAGTTTTGCACGTGCTCTTTACAACAGTCTTATGAGGTTGGTGTTATTATTATCTCATTTTGTGGTAAAGATACTTAGAAAGGTTAAAACTATTTGCCTGCATTTATGTAGATGTTAACTTCTGAAGGAGGTATGTGGTCCAAAGCAGACCAAAATAGAAGTCTGAACTCTGAACCACTTGGAGAATATGTCACCTCTTCTTATCAGCTGATGCTCACTGATAGTCTCCAATAATACAAGATAGTAAACTGGGTTTCCCAAATTTCCTGCATTATATACCTCAGGGGTCCCCAACCCCCAATCATGGACTGGTATTGGTCTGTGGCCTGTTAGGAACTTGGCTGCACCGTAGGAGGTGGGGGGCAGGTGAGCGAGCAAAGCTTCATCTGTATTCATGGCTGCTCAGCATCACTTGCATGATCACCTGAGATCCACCTTCTGTCAGATCAGAGTTGGCATTAGAGGCTCACAGGAGCACAAACCCTATTGTAAACTGTGCACATGAGGGATCTAGGTTGTGGGCTCCTTATGAGAATCTAATGCCTGATGATCTGTCACTGTCTCCCATTGCCCCCCGATAAGATAATTTAGTTGCAGGAAAACAAGTTCAAGGCTCCCACTGATTCTACATGACTGTGAGTTGTCATAATTATTTTATTATATATTACAATGTAATAAAAACAGAAATAAAGTGTACAACAAATGGAATGCGCTTGACTCATCCTGAAACCATCCTTCTACCACTGGCCCTTGGAAAAATTGTCTCCCACAAAACCAGTCCTTGGTCCCAAAAAGGTTCAGGACTGTTGATATACCTTATGTTTTTCCAAAGAACCTGAGTCTTTCTGTATTTCACAACCCATTCATTTTTTAATAGTCCAAGTTTTATTATCTTACCTGCAACATCTAGCTACAAGATTAAACATGCTTTCTTGTTTTTTTTTTTTTTTTTTTGTTTCTCTTCCAAAATCAGAGAGGGAGGTGGCATGGAAGAAGGAAAATCTGAAGATAGGCTACGGGATCATTAGATATAGAAGAAAATATATATTGTTTTGATAGAAAATTAATGATGAGTTTGGTTGGATTTTTAAATCAAGGTCAGCTCTTCCTTATTACTGTTATTAAAATATCATTTAAAATTTTCTAATAGTTCATTGCTGAGCTAAGCATTTGGGCTTTGATGTAATTCACAGAAGAAAATAATTTTTGAAAGTTAAACAGAAATAAAGCCTGAAGAGAACTCTGCTGCTTTTTTTTTTGTCATATCACTTTCTAGGAAACATTTTGCCCCACTCCATCAGTCTTCCCTCTCCTCTGGGTGGTTGGACTATGAAGTTGCCAAATTAAAACACCAAGACAGAGAGATAACCTTGGGGATGGTGGCACGGTGATCTGAAAGGAGCCAGGATCCCCAGTGATTTTGTAGATGAGAGTTTTCACACCTGCACTGGATTGGAAACTCTGGTTGTTTAAAGGAATGAAATCCACACTTTGATCTTGACTTTCAAACCATTCCTGAGATCTAAGACTCCTA
Source organism: Homo sapiens (assembly GCF_000001405.40). NCBI lineage: Eukaryota > Metazoa > Chordata > Mammalia > Primates > Hominidae > Homo > Homo sapiens. The sequence continues at coordinate 18,038,726 of NC_000005.10, forward strand.
ATTTAAAAATTATCTAACATTATGCATATGAGCCAATGTCAAGGTTACATTGAAGGAATGGTAGTGTGGGATGCCAAGAGCAGGTACAGAATGAGCCAGAAACAGTTCCTTGTGTTGGTTTTCTGTATTTTTGAACGTTAAAAAGCAATGCTAGTAATACACATGAAGTTCAGGAAATGTGTTGTTTAAAGACAGGACTGAAAGAGTAACATTTCTAAAGGTTTGGCAATAATAGAGATAACATTCCACCTTGCACTGCTATGGCCTAAGACAACCTTGACTGAACCTAAATAACAAGACTAATGAATGTGTGTGTGTACTTAAATTAAAAAAATTAAAGAGTAGCCATATAATGAAATGTAGAACCTTTATTTTTATACTTGTTTTTAGAGAGACAGATAGCAATAAATGTTATATGTATAATAAGAATTAAATTGTACATTTAGAAGACATGAGTAGCTTTACTCAAAATACACGAGCAGTGAATGTTAATTTTGCTTGGATATTTTTGATATCATGATTCTAAAACCTTTATAAAAGAGTCAGTGTAGAAATGAATGCTGACTGAAGGTCAGTGTGTTTTATTAAAATCAAATCCTGGTAAGAATCTAGGATGACGTTTTGCTACTTTGAATTTCAGAGAAAGCATTTCAGGTTTTGAAAACAGATTCTGGCAGTTTACTCCAATAGCTTAGAATTTAGTTTTCTTTAATCAGCTTGTGTTGGCAATTTGGATGATATTGCTTAGCTTTAGTAGTGTTTTTGATGCACTGACACTTTCTCATGGGCACATTTTTAGAATTAAGGAAAAGACCTTTTCTTTTCACAATACATATTCATTATAACAAAAAAAAATGCAGAGGATCACATAGAAGAACATGAAAAATACCATAACATGTTTTCCTGAGACAGCCTCTTTGTGAAAATCATTGTCTGTTCTTTGTCTAACTTCTGTCTATTTTGTTGCTTTTGTTTTTTATTTTATTTTATTTTTATTTCATTTTTTATTTTTTGACTACTTTATTAATTTTTTTAAACTCTTATTTTAGATTCAGGGAGTACATGTGCAGTTGTATGATGCTGAAGTTTGGAATATAAATGATTTCATCACTCAGGTACTGAGCATAGTACCCAATAGTTAGTTTTTCAACCCTGTTCCCTCCCCGCCTTCCCACTCTACTAGTCCACAGTTTCTTTTGTTATCATCTTTATGCCCAGATGTGCCCAATGTTTAGCTCTCACTTGTAGGTGAGAACATGCACTATTTGGTTTTCTGTTTCTGCTTTAATTTGCTTAGGATAATGGCCTTCACCTGCCACCATGTTGCTGCAAAGAACACGATTTCATTCTTTCTTATGGTGCATAGTATTCCACGGTGTAGATGTACAACAACTTCTTTATCCAATCCAATGTTGATGGACACCTGGGTTGATTGCATGTCTTTGTTATTGTGAATAATGCTGCAATGAATAGATGAATGCATATGTCTTTTTGGTAGAAGGATTTTTTCCTTTTGGACATATACCCAGTAATGGGAATGGTAAGTCTGATAGCAGTTTTGTTTTAAGCTCATTGAGAAATCTCCAAACTGCTTTCCACAGTGGCTGAACTAATTTACATTCCCACCATCAGCGCATATATTCCCTTTTCTCCATAGCTTTACCAGCATCTGTTATTTTTTGATTTTTTAAAAATAATAGCCATTCTTACTGGTGTGAGATTGTATCTCACTGTGGTTTTGATTTGCATTTCTCTGTTGATTAGTGATGTGGAGCCTTTTTTCGTATGTTGGCTGCTTGTATGTCTTCTTTTTTTAAAAAAAAAATTATTATTATTATACTTTAAGTTTTAGGGTACATGTGCACAATGTGCAGGTTAGTTACATATGTATACATGTGCCATGTTGGTGTGCTGCACCCATTAACTCGTCATTTAGCATTAGGTATATCTCCCAATGCTATCCCTCCCCCTTCCCCCTACCCCACAACAGTCCCCAGAGTATGATGTTCCCCTTCCTGTGTCCACGTGTTCTCATTGTTCAATTCCCACCTATGAGTGAGAATATGCGGTGTTTGGTTTTTTGTTCTTGCAATAGTTTACTGAGAATGATGATTTCCAATTTTATCCATGTCCCTACAAAGGACATGAACTCATCATTTTTTATAGCTGCATAGTATTCCATGGTGTATATGTGCCACATTTTCTTAATCCAGTCTGTCATTGTTGGACATTTGGGTTGGTTCCAAGTCTTTGCTATTGTCAATAGTGCCACAATAAACATACGTGTGCATGTGTCTTTATAACAGCATGATTTCTAGTCCTTTGGGTATATACCCAGTAATGGGATGGCTGGGTCAAATGGTATTTCTAGTTCTAGATCCCTGAGGAATCGCCACACTGACTTCCACAATGGTTGAACTCGTTTACAGTCCCACCAACAGTGTAAAAGTGTTCCTATTTCTCCACATCCTCTCCAGCACCTGTTGTTCCCTGACTTTTTAATGATCGCCATTCTAACTGGTATGAGATGGTATCTCATTGTGGTTTTGATTTGCATTTCTCTGATAGCCAGTGATGGTGAGCATTTTTTCATGTGTTTTTTGGCTGCATAAATGTCTTCTTTTGAGAAGTGTCTGTTCATGTCCTTCGCCCACTTTTTGATGGGGTTGTTTGTTTTTTTCTTGTAAATTTGTTTGAGGTCAGTGTAGATTCTGGATATTAGCCCTTTGTCAGATGAGTAGGTTGCGAAAATTTTCTCCCATTTTGTAGGTTGCCCGTTCACTCTGATGGTAGTTTCTTTTGCTGTGCAGAAGCTCTTTAGTTTAATTAGATCCCGTTTGTCAATTTTGGCTTCTGTTGCCATTGCTTTTGGTGTTTTAGACATGAAGTCCTTGCCCATGCATAGGCTTTTGTTTTTTAAATGCGTATGTTAAATTGCAAGATTGATAAGCCTCATTATAAAAAGGTCAAAATATATTACATTTTATGTTGTAAAATATGAGATTTTTCTCTATGCCCCACCTCTAATAATACTTCTTTCTCTTCGGGTCAGTAGAGTTCACAATGTAGAGTGCATTTTGGCGCACTCAGCTAGACACAGCATGAGCACACACAGGCACACAGTGATACTTGCATAATATGCTCAGACATGTTTTTTAAAACATAGAGATAAGTTTCTCTCTACATACATGCACACACACAAATAAGTATTTCTGTGCTACAATTTTTTTCACTTAATAACGTACAAAATTTCAAATAAGCTACACCCAGGTAAACTTAGTTGGATTAATTAACTCCCAATTAATACTGGTCAGTTTCAGCAACAGAAAGCTTCTAAATTCTAAGCACAGGGTTCTTTTGGAGAATGTGCATATCTTTGAAGTGCAAAAGTAAGAGAGACACAGAAAATCTAATGCTGTACTGGAAGGTCCTAAACAGTGTGTAGGTTAAGAAAAATATATTACAAGGATCCTGATTGTAAAATAAGAATTAAAATAATCTATTCATAGGTGATATGATCATCTATGTAGAACATTCTATGAAATTTGTAAACATGCTACTAGAACTAAACAGTGAGTTTAGCAAGATCATAGAATACAAGATTGACATATAAAAAACTATATAATAGCAACAAATAATCAGAAATTGAAAATTAAAATACCATTTATAATAGCACAAATAATATTATATACATAGTGGCACATCTAACAAAAGATGTGTCAGACCTGTATACTGAAAACTAGAAAACACTACCTACAGAAATAAATATAATGCAAATAAATTGTTAGCTATATCCTGGTCCTGGATCAAAAAACTCAATACTGTTAAGATATCAGTTCTCCCCAAAATAATCTATAAATTCAACACAATTCCTATCAAAATTCTCAATTTTTTAGTAGGAATTGATGAACTGATCCTAAAATTTGTATGACAATGAATAAATACTATTGGAAAAGAGGAGCAAATTTGGAAGGCTTTTATACTATCTAATTTTAAGATTTTTAAAAAATCTATGGTAATCAGCAGTATAATATTGAAAGACTAATCAAGGTACAAGAATGGAGGATCCAGAAGTAGATTTATACACAATATGGTCAATGAATTTTTGACAGAGACAGAAGCAATTCAGTGGAGAAAGAATGGTCTTGTCAACAAATGGTGCTGGATCATACCCACACCTTGTCTCTTATGCCAAAATTTAACTCAAAATGGATCAAAGACTTGAATGTAAATCTTAACACTACAGAAGTTACAGAAGAAAACATGGGAGTGTATCCTAACTGCCTAGTTTTGTGAATAAAGATGTACTGGAACACAGTTGTGACTCTTTGTTTACGTATTGCCTTTTGCAATGAAATGGCAGAGCTGAAAAACAGAGACTGTGTGATCCACAGAGCCTAAAATATTTACTCACAGGAACTTTTCTGAAGTTTGCTGACCCCTGCTTAGATTATAAGGAATAGAAAACCCAGTGAAAGCTGGCTTCTTCTCTCGTATAAACAGACATCCAAGAGGAAGATGGCTTTGGGGTTGTCTTAATGCTTCAGTGCTGAATTCTATGGGCCAACTTTATCTTCAGTCAAATAAGATGGCTGCAAGATTTCAAGGCTTCACAGCACAGACGGTAATATCCAGAGGGAGGATAAAGAAGTTGTTCCTTCCTGTGGTTTTGTCTTTAGTTTATGAAACCCTTCCTCAGCTAACCTCCTGCTCCCTGATCCAGTGACAGTCTTCTTCTTGAATTACTCTCCTTTTCATGAACTCTTTGCCATAAGGCTTAGACCTGTGTTCCTGAATCAACCACAAACAGGGAATGGAATTACCCTCTGATTACTCAGGGCCATCTTGTGGTTGGGGATTGTTAGGAAGCAAGGTGAAGTGATTTAGTGATGCCCTATGTGTTTTCTCCTGTGACCCCAGAAAGCACTGTTTGTTTAGGATTTATATAATTAAATTTCTTGATCTCTTCCCTTCCCTTCTCTTTCCCCTCCCCTCCCCTCCTTCTTCATTTTTTTTCTTTTTTTTTGAGATTCCATCGCTAAAAATCCTTGTAATGTTTCATCTTTGTAAATATTCTTAGCCATTGACTGGAGATAAACACCTTTATAATAAAAATAAAACATATTTCTACCTAGAGTATTAAAAAAATCTTTAATAGAAATGTATTTTCAAATTTCAAATGCCTTTTATTATATATCTAAATATTATTTAAAAATTTTAAATCTAGAGGTGTAATGAGTTATATAGATAGATTTTCTAATATCACTTATTTTTTTCATTTCTGGAATATATCCTTTCTGATTATGGGCTATATCTTTCAACATATTCAGGTTATATTTTATCTAGAAGTTTTTCATCTCTATTTGTAAGGTTTAAATCTATATTTGGGAGTTTCATTGGGTTTTGACCTTCATCAAATAAACTCTGATATCAAAGCTTCATAAAATGGTTTTGAAACATTTTTTTCTTTTTCTATATTGAAATGCTATCAACAGAAGTGGAATATTCTGTTCCAAAATGGTTTGATATGACTGATTCTTAAAACCATCACTCAGGAACATTTTTAAATTACCTCGATTTATTGGCAAGATAGCATTTGTTTTTCTACTCAATCAACTTTTTATAATTTTTATATTATAATATTCTAAAATTCTTATTCTGTAGAGCTTGATTTTTCTCTTGTTAAGTATATGTTAGTATATGAACTCGATAACACATACATAAATTAATTATTGTATTAAAAATAACTGTAAAACAACATAAAATAGTTTTTTTTTCCTTTTAGAGACTAGACAAATTACATGTGTTTTATAAATACCCAACCAGAACTGTACACACACACACAATGAGCAAAATTAAAATTAGGTCTTAAAAGTTTCATAGTCAACATGCGTCAGTTGTACAATAGAGAGACGAGCATGGAGATCAGATTTCATCTCAATATGCAGTTTTATAAATATCTGTTTTGGCTCATATGATATTGTAGTCATATTAAGTTTCCTCCTCATTTTAGTGACCTTGATATAGAAATATATATACACATTTAAATATCAAATCACCTCTTAGGCATGCATGATCACATTCTAATGCTATAGATAAGACCCACTGGTCATTACTTTGCTTCCTAAAAATTTTTCTAGACTGGCAGTTAGCTGCCTAATAGATGATTCCAGGAAAGAACAAAGCCAGTCTAATTATTCAAGAAGTTACTTTTGTACCAGAACTGTTGTAGGTGGACTGTAATTTTTTGTAGAAAGTTTAGGACTTAATTACCAGACATTCCTACTCAAAGATATTTGAAATCAGTTTTTCCCTAAATATCTTTTGATTGCAAAGCTATTTACTATTTAGAATCCTGAAATGTTGATATTTATAATAAAAAGAAAATTTAAATATAGAAATACCTTCAAGAATAACATACGACCACATTGCTTTTTTCTTGCAGATGAGCAGTTGCATTTTGTTAGATCTTAAAATTAAGATTGCAGTGTTTTTTCCCTGGAAACCAATATATCTGCTGCAAATGTGTATTACAATATTACAGTCATAAAATATAATAATTAAAATTGTGAGGTTTTTCTGGAATGGTGGCTTTTCCTCTGGTTAGTATTACTTGAAATAGCATAATCCCCTTTTAAACTATTAAAGTTTAGTTTAAACTCATTTAGCTGAATGAGATATTAGACTATTAAGTATCATTAAGAAAATAAATTAACACTATCCAGAGACAAGTGTTTATAGTTTCTGAGTAATATATAACTTTTTTTTTTTTGAGAGACAAGAGTCTCGCTCTGTTGCCCAGGCTGGAGTGCAGTGGCGCGAACTCTGCTCACTGCAGACTCCGCCTCCCAGGTTCACGCCATTCTCCTGTCTCAGCCTCCCAAGTAGCTGGGACGACAGGCACCCGCCACCACGCCCGGCTAATTTTTGTATCTTTAGTAGAGACAGGGTTTCACCATGTTAGCCAGGATGGTCTCCATCTCCTGACTTCGTGATCTGCCCACCTCGGCCTCCCAGAGTGCTGGGATTACAGGCGGGAGCCACCGTACCCGGCCAGTAATATATAACTTTTAACAAGAATGAAAGAATTAATTTTCAAAGCACATTAAGACTTCCAAACTTACAGTGCCCATTTCAAAATTCAGTGTTATGGATAAGAACACTTGCTTTGTGGTTGCCCAGGCAGTTCAGAGTCTCAACTTCCTATTTCTTTAATGCCTGAAGTTCCTTCATACTTATCGTATAATTGCTTATATTTATTTAACTATTTATTTTCTTAGTTAATTATTTTTTCCTGTCTTGGAGAAAACTTGGGAGTGGCATATTGTGTTCATTTATGATTGCTCTCAAGTATGTGGCTTCAAAAATCTCCGTACTCCTTTCAAAAAAGAGATGTATTTCACAGAATTCCTGGGAGTCTTCTCATATCAAAATCAATGGTCAGATTTCCCTTCAATATTTCAGCTAAATTGTGTGCAGGTACTAGTTCATTTAATTGGCTTCAAATGAAGTAATTATTGTATCTCATTATGGCCAATTACTCTTGTCCTTGGAGAGGTTTTAAAGGGGTCACAATTGAAGCAGACTCCAAGGTGCAGGTAAAGTCCTTCTTGCCTAGCCATAGCATACATATATCAAAAAGTAGTGGCTCTAGATATACTTGGGCATATCACACACAGGAGCACACACACAAATACTTTCTTTTTTTATTTTTATTTATTTATTTATTTATTTATTTATTTATTTATTTATTTATTTTTATTTATTTTGAGACGGAGTCTCGCTCTGTCACCCAGGCTGGACTGCAGTGGCGCGATCTCTGCTCACTGTAAGCTCCGCCTCCTGGGTTCACGTCATTCTCCTGCAGCCTCCCGAGTAGCTGGGACTACAGGTGCCCGTCACCGCACCCAGCTAATTTTTTGTATTTTTAGTAGAGACGGGGTTTCACCGTGTTAGCCAAGATGGTCTCGATCTCCTGACCTCGTGATCCGCCTGCCTCGGCCTCCCAAAGTGCTGGGATTACAGTTGTGAGCCACCGCGCCCGGCCTTATTTTTATTTTTACAAATACTTTCACTACCTAAATCTCCTGTGGTGCTACCTGAACACTGTTCAGTGTACCTTTATATAAGCAATCATTGACTAGTAAAGTGTGATACTTTGGTTTTTAAACACGTACCTTATCCTGTAATGTCTGCCTCATTTCTTATATTATGGCAATAAAGTCACAACTGGCAAGGAAATGAAATAATTTCTGATTTAGACAATTATACACAGTTGACCTTTGAACAACGTGAGGGTTAGGGTTGCCAACTCCCTGCACAGTTGAAAATTTATAACTTTTGACTCCTCAAAAACTTAACTACTAATAGCCTATTGTTGACTGCAAGCCTTATTGGTAACATCAATAGTTGATTAACACATATTTCATATGTTATATTATTATATACTATATTCATATAATAAGCTAGAGAAAAGAAACTGCGATTAAGAAAATCATAAGGAAAAGAAAGTATATTTACTACTTATTAAGTGGAGGTGGATCATCATAAAGGTCTTCATCCTGGTTGTCTTCACACTGAGTAGGCTGAGGAGGAGGAGGGAGAGGATGTGTTGGTTTTACTGTCTCAGTAGTGACAGAGGTGGAAGAAAATCTGCATATAAGTGGAACCGTGCAGTTCAAACCCATGTTGTTCAGTAGTCAACAGTATATGTTCTTCATATACCGTTGTGCAGGTTGTTCACTGCATAAGTGCACTGGGGCAGGGTGGCAAGTGGGAGCTCAGATTAATCCTGGACTCTGCTCTTCAAGCCATTTGACCTTATTAAAGCTGTGTCCTCCACAGGCAGGGCCACTTTTTTTGTAATTGCCCAGAGGTACAACTGGTTTACTGTAGCAGCTGGGTTTGTGAAATTCACATAGTCACAGAAAAATGTGATACTAAAATGTCCTGAGGCTATATCACTACCATATATTAAAAATATGCTGAGATTTACCCCTGAGGAACAACCTTAAATTGATTCAATCACTCACATATTACTGTTTTTCATCTACACGCGTTTTAAAATTTTAAGTAAAATATTTCATCTCTGTGCTTTAAGCTCCATTGCTTAGTTTGATTCTCATAAAAATGTCATAAGTATAAATATTAATAACTAGCGGTAAATCAAATAAATGAAACTGATGAACAGTGTGAAATACCCATAAGCCACTCATAAGAAATTATTAGTTTGTAACATGAAACTGCCATCTTTGTGGTTCATAATAGTCAAATATTATTGATTTCTTACGGTTCAATCTAACAAATACTTTGCTAATGAAGCTCTTCCCTCAAAACAGTTCCCTGATCTGGCATCCCATCCTATATCTCGTGCCCGGTATTCAATTAAATGCGTAGTTCTAAACACACTTACTTTAAGGATCCCTTATCGGTTGGTATGTTACTTTGTTTTTCATTTATTACTGCATTTATTTTTTCCCTTATTCAATAGTTATTTGTTGAATACCTACTCCTTAGCAGTCAAACACATACAAGTGGTTTATATGTTCATTGTTCTTAAGAAATGTTGGGGTTTCTTTTCACAGAATGTCATTGTTGGCTTTAAAACTTCTGTTCTAGTCTATGGAATTTTGAATGTAGGGGCTTGGTCCATGTGTGGAAAATACTTAGTTTAGAATATTAAAGTGAAGAGCTGTAAGAAAGAGGAGGTGTCTTAGGGCTGATATAACAAAGTACCCTAGACGGAGTGGCTTTAATAACACATCAGAATCAAGTGGGGAGGTTTAAAATTATATCTTCAAAGATCTGACTTTTCTGGCTTTAGGCTCTAGCACTGGTATTTTTTATAACGCTTCCAGGATGTGCTAGTGTACAATGCAGGTTTACACAAGCTTCTTTGGAGCAAAACCAACACAGGCTGGAGGTCACCAGCTTTCACTCAGTAAAGACAGGGTAAATATTGAGGTCAGCTAGGAGTGCTTCCTTTTAACAGATGAAAATGGTTGATGAGACTCTGTTGTTGAAACAGTGGTAAAGGTTATTGTGCTGTGATTGGAACAAGGTTATTATGAAGAAAAGCTGAGAAAGGTCCAAATATAAGAGAAGGCATATAGCAAAAGGTAAAATTAAATAAATTTAAACAATTATGGATATGCATCCATAGTGGGATAAAAAGGAATCTGACTATCACTTATTTTTAATTTGAAAGTTTATAAGTAAAGTTTCAAGAATAGTTATGTTTTTATGGAGCAAGTGATTTAATTATTATTTTAGTGATTTAATACTTAGCCTGTTATCAGGAATTGTTCTTGCAATTGCATTTGCTAGTTCTGGGCATGTTGGTAGGTCATTCACCTCTTTGGATCTCATCTTCTTAATCTGTAATATGGGAGAACACTACTTGAGGTGTTTCTATCACAATAAAGAAACACTCTCCTTAAACAAAAAGACTTGTGCAAAAGAGAAGCAGATACTTGTTGACAATGCTAACTTTTTTTTTTTTTTTTTGCAAGTGGGTGCATAGAGAATGCTAGTGTTTTCTAAAAGTCCTGAGATTTTTGAGATGCATATGGCATCCTATATTCCTGTTCTATTAATAGATGTGCCGTCTTAGTGATTATTTGACCTAATCATATTTGTAACTTTTAAAATATTTCCCTTTCCCCTTCTAGTTTTGAAAATGGGCTCAAAATCTATTTAAATTCATTAGTTATGAAAAAGAGAGCTCTTTCTTCCCTTTCCTGTTAGGCGAGAGCTGCCGGAGGCAAGGGTCTCCGATGCCGTTTCTTGTTCTCATCATGTAGACAAAACAGCCCTGCTGCAAAGATGGTCAACGTACCTAAAACCGGAAGAACCTTCTGTAAGAAGTGTGGCAAGCATCAGCCTCACAAAGTGACACAGTATAAGAAGGGTAAGGATTCTTTGTATGCCTAGGGAAAGTGGCACTATGATCGGAAGCAGAGTGGCTATGGTGGGCAGACAAAGCCAATTTTCTGGAAGAAGGCTAAGACCACAAAGAAGATTGTGCTAAGGCTGGACAATGTGTTGAGCCTAACTGCAGATCCAAGAGGATGCTGGCCATTAAGAGATGCAAGCATTTTGAACTGGGAGGAGATAGGAAGAGAAAGGGCCAAGTGATCCAGTTCTAAACTTTGGGATATTTTTCTTCTAATTTTGAAGAGAAAATGTTGAAGCCATAGAAAAATTACCTGAAGGAAAATAAATACAGTGATATTCTTATAAAAAAAAATAGAGAGACTTCTTGTTATTATGACGAAAGAATTTATTAGGAGTCAAAAGATTTAGGTTGGTGTCTGAATTTTGCTGGGTTCGTGCAGGAGGACCGTGGTCAAATCATCAGCTTCTCTGATGCTTATTTCTTAAATTTTCAAAGCAATGTGGCTGCATTAAGCAAAAGAACACACCTCTTTAATTTCTGTGATTCTATGGTATATTGGTTTACAGTTTTATTTGTATAATATACCCACGAATGTTATACATTTCTTCTGTGCAAAAACACTGAATCTAATCATTGAATATGCACTTGTTTTCAATATATATCACAATATATGGTCATTTTCAATATGTCACACATGTTATGATTTATATTCAGAAAACTATATTAGATCTTATCATTTCTCAAATTGTATGATATAATTGACCAAATGATAATATTTTTCATATTTGAAGCACACTGATATAAAATCAATATTCTGTTCTGAGATGTTTGCAATTCTCATAAAATTTTACTTTTCTATATTTAAATAGTGAAGAATAAAATTTCAACGAATAAGTGTTTATCTTAATGTAATGAAATGCTGACTAAGCACAATAAAATGTTATTTAATATCATAATATTTTGATATATATTGAAAAAGAATGTACATTTTGATTGCCAATCAAGTTTTAAAAGTTGTCTTTTATTAGAGACATCTTTTCTTTTATTTGAGATGCATTTTTCACTTTAACTGATTTTAACATATTGTTTCCAAACAGTCTTTTAGGACATACCTCTGATAGATAATTAAGACATAATTTTTGCTTCTAAGAAGTTAAGAAATCAGAGGGTAAAGGCTTCAACCCAGATAATTATGTTACAAAGCCAAATTTGATGCATCCTTTAAGGACAGTGCAAAAAATAAAGAAAAAAAAAGAAAAAGTGTACTGGTTTCTAGAGGAGTTATCTATCCTTTCCACATTTCATCAGGATTCGATAAAGACACTTGTTTGCTGGCACATTTAAACCTCAAGATGATGGAAGGCTAACGAGAGTGATGTAAATAAACCTTTTTGGGGCACATGGCCTTATTCGCCCCCTTTGTCTCTTGGGTTTTTTATATTTGAGCCTGATGTTTTGTCCTGTTGAAGTGAAAAACGAAAACAGGCTCAGCCTAGAGCAGAAGGCCCAATAGGCTGCTAAGTTTGCATTGGTTCTAAGTCAGGCTCTCTTTTTCCAATAGAGAGGGTCATGGTGGATACTTGGGTCCAGATTATTTCAACAGAAAAATGTATTAGTGCTTAGGCCAAAACACTGCTGGGACACAATTTTCTATGGGCCTTCCTGTTACTGCATGTCTCGATTACAGAGGCATGAGTGTCTTTGTTCCAGTATCTTCACAGATTCTCTTCAAAGATATTTGCATGAAGAACAGCCTGGGGAGATAGAGCTAGTGTCTCCCTCAGGAGCAATAAGCAGGTTTGTTTCCTGTCCAGTAATACGTGTGTGTGTGCGTGCGTGCGTGTGTGTGCATGCACGCGCGTGTCTTGGTTTTTCAAAATACCAGTTACTTTTGGAAGCTTATCTTTTGCCATGATTTAACAAAACAACCTTTACTGCCTTCCTCTCAGAGGTCAAACTCAACAAACATAATGTTTATCTTCTCTGTTTTCCCAGTAAGTGGTTCTTAACTGACGTTTTGGACAGTAAAAACTTGAAAAGAACGATGGAAACATGAACAGAAAGAGGACCATCAAACAATGAAATATGTGGATAGAAATAGATAGAATAGAAAATTAAAAAATACGGGACAATGTTGATACATCTGACAGAAAAAAAGGCAGCCACGGGCCAGAATATTCAGAGAAGGCTACCGTAGATGTAGGAGACGTTTTTGTTGGCAGAACCATAGAATGACTCCAGCATCAGAGTAAGAGAAATTGGGAGCAGATTTGGGATGTGGAAAGTAATCAGGATGCGTAATTAAATATTCTAGGGAACATGAGTGACAACTGGTCCCTTACCACCTCCCCCAGGTGCAGGGAGTGATTATCTACTGTAAGTGTTCATCTCTGCCATTATAGCCTGAGAACTTTTATAGAAATAAATTGAACCAACTTTCTAGAAGAACAGTGTCATTAATATTCTGGCTGACACTCATTGACTTGATACTTCTCGACAGCACACTCTACTGGTTTGACCCTTGTGGCACCTCAACATAAATCCTGTCCTCAGCCACTCCTGTACACAAAGATCTAATTCCATTCTCTCTTTCAGAAGAGAAGCAGTGTAGGAAAACACACCAACACAATAGCAATATGAATCAGCCTAAATCTTCATTTGTATAAGTGAGAAATCAGCCAGGATAGCCAGAGTTTTGAGAAAGACTAGAATTTTAGAAGTTTAGGCTCAAGATGAACATAGAAACAATATTATTCAAATAAAGTAGACATTCATAGAACCTAAAATTTATCTTCTCCTATTTAGTATACTACAAAGAACTCAGGATGACGAAGTAAAATTGTAGCTTTGAAAAAACACAAAGTGAGAGCAAGCTAGAGTTCTGATGTCAGAAATTTGTGCCGAGGTAAAAATAACCAAGACTGCCTGGAAGGAAGATTTAGAAATATTATTTCTTAGAATATTTACCAACAAGTCAAAGAGGGAAAATGTGAGACTAGAGTATTAATATAGGTAATTTCAAATATTAAAAAATGTTAAGAATAAGGAAGGAGAATGTTTAAATGGAATAAAATTTGAGAGTTAAAATAAAACATGAGTTTTGATATCGAAAGGGCACCAAAAACCATAGCAAAATGAAATAAAAATACTGCCACCTAGGCATTTCTTTGTAAAATATCAGAACGCAAAATTGTAAAATTTGAAAATGGTAAAACTTCACAGCACAAAAGAGGGTTCTATTAAGAAACAATCAAAAAAGATCATCTATGAAGGATCAAGAATCGGTTTTCTTCCACACTTGCTATTACCAATGCTGGATACTAGAAAGTTCTAAGTTCTAGGGGTTGGGGGACGAATGTACACAGGTTTCTATTTCTCCAGCCAACCTTTTCGTTTAACAATGGGGTAAAATATTGTATTTCCAGAAATGCAAAATCTCTACAAGTACACATTTTACAAACTCAGGAAATAAAGGAAATAATCACAGCTATTAGCCAGGAACAAGGGACTACAAATTCTTGAAGGAGCAAAATGTGAAATCTAAGAAAAGATGAACTAAAGTAGGCAATGAAAACAAATGGCTAGGGTGACAGCTGTGCTGCAGTCCTAGAAAGCAATCTGTCCAAACTAGGGATAAAGTGTGAGAACTCTGTAAAAGAAGCCATTAGAAGTCAAGGGCAACAGTATCATTAGGAAACTGAAAGATCTTAGGAATTTCATGATAAAGGCATATAGCCTATTTTTCAACATACTAATATAATCAATTATAAAATTTAGGAAAAAATGGTCAAAGTGGGGTGTGATTTTAGCAATCAATGGAGTATAGCAACAGAATTTGACTTTTGCTTATGTGGATAAATGTTGGAATTAAAAATCTGTAATGTGGCTTTTGTCATTTACTGAAAATCTGCATGCAAGAAGTAAGAGAAACTCTAGGCCAGAGGCCGGAGACCACAGTTCAGTCCTTGACAGATCAATTTTACAGTTTCTGTTACATACGAGAGAACAAGCCAAGCTTCTCATTCCCCTCTCCCAAATGTATTCACAACACCTTCCAGAGGTACACACGTAGATAAACTTCAAAAGATTATTACATTTGAAGGGACGTTCAAATATGAATCTGAAAACAAGAAGAGTCACAGTAAATGAGGCAAAATGTATAGCTCAAACCAAACTCAATTATATATTTGCAAAGAAAGTCAGGTAACGGGAATGAGGAAGAGTTTATAACTTCCAAGATCTGTAAAGAGGTCATGATGGTTGTTCAAGAGAGCAGAATATTAAGGATACTCTGTTAGAACGTGTGACAAAATTATTTTGATTATGTGGAGCTGCTTTATAATTCATCTGGACACTTGGAATATTCCTGAGCAATACAATTTTACTGACATGTGTTGCCGGACTTTCTCCACGATCCAACTATAACATACTGTGCTGCTTTGACTAGTGTTTTCATAATTCAATATGTTAAATGTTCATACTACTTTAAATTTATAGAAACTTTAAAGAACTAAAATCTAATCACTGAGTTTGTCATTAAAAAATATTCCCGGCTGGGCATGGTGGCTCACGCCTGTAATACTAGGGGAAGCCGAGGCGGGAGGATCACAAGGTCAGGAGTTCGAGACCAGCCTGGCCAACATGGTGAAACCCTGTCTCTACTAAAAATACAAAAATTAGCCGGGTGCAGTGGCAGCAGCCTGTAATCCCAGCTACGTGGGAGGCTGAGGCAGGAGAATTGCTTGAACCCAGGAGGCAGAGGTTGCAGTGAGCCAAGATCTCGCCACTGCACTCCAGCCTGGGTGACAGAGCAAGACTGTGTCTTGGGGGGGAAAAAAAGACTCAAATTTATTTCTTTAGCTTTGTCTTCTCAGCTTCATGTTTTTATGTGACTGGTGGGCATTTTGTTATATGTCATCCAGAACTTCATAGATACATTATTTAATTCTTTTTTTCCCCTAATACCAACTCCTATAATTTATTGATCCATTTTCCTTAATGATATGAATATTTTAGTGGTGCTGACCTTCAAGACATAGTGGCAACATTAATGCCTTTTCTCTATATTCACAACTGTTATGGATTATCAACCTGTTCAGTTGACTCTTAGTTTTAATTCTCTCTCATTTCAATCCTTTCTCCATATTGGTTGTAATGCTCCTAATTCAGGCTCCTTTTGTCTCCATCTGGATGATTGTTGTACTCCTTTTGTCTCCATCTGGATGATTGTTGTAACCTCCTTAATGGACATTGAATGTCCATTCTTTCTTCTTTTATCCCCTCCACGCTAAATCAGATTCATTTTTTTTTTTTTTTTTTTTTTTTTTGAGATGGAGTCTCACTCTGTCGCCCAGGCTGGAGTGCAGTGGTGCGATCTCAGCTCACTGCAAGCTCCACCTCCCGGGTTCACGCCATTCTCCTGCCTCAGCCTCCCCAGTAGCTGGGACTACAGGCGCCCGCTACCACGCCTGGCTAATTTTTTGTATTTTTAGTAGAGACGGGGGTTTCACCGTGTTAGCCAGGATGGTCTCGATCTCCTGATCTCGTGATCCGCCTGCCTCGGCCTCCCAAAGTGCTGGGATTACAGGCATCGGCCACCGCGCCTGGCCCCAGATTCAAAATTTTAAAATCCTGCCTATGTCTTTCCTGTACTCAAAAATATTAATTTGCTGTCTTGCATTCAAATTCCTTAGCCTGGCCCTCAAAATTTGTTACCACCTGCTACAAAAGCAGTGTGCCAAGAGGAGGCTTGAGGATGGATCTCAGTCGCCTTAATTCCCCACTTGTTGCTTCAAACTGTCCAGCCAAACTACGATCAAAGTAAAGCAAGGTGTTTGCAAGGCAAACGCAGCCTCAAATGGAGGTTAGGGCTCGTGCTTTCCTTTCTCGTAGAAAACTCTAGTACTATCTTTAATCTGTTCCTAAACCAAGGTTTTAGCTATGTGTTTCTATATTCCCCCACTAACACTGTACTTACATGTCAAACTGGTTTGTCACTGTCTCCTTTTTGAATTTGGTGTACTACCCAAAGTACAATCTCAATTTTTCATTACTACTGAAATGAAAAATTCCTCAGAACTCAACTCAAATTCTACCTTTTCCACAGACATTCCCTGATCTCTCTTACCTGATGGGATTACCTCCTTCCAGAAACTATTTCTTCATTTATAAGATTTTGCTATTAATTATTTATTCCTGTGTCCTGGTCTGTTATTGTTACCTTAAACTGTTGGAAAAAAAAAAGTTTGCATAAGGTTTTCACCTGTTAAATTCTTAACATTTTTACAAGATTGTACAGTTTTGAGAGTAGGAACTGAGTTTTCATTCTCATTTTCCATGTCTTCAATATAGTGGGAATTCCACAATTCTGTTGAGTAAATGAATGGGGTCATAAGTCATTGTAAGCAATTGACTTCCATACATCATTGATGATTTAAATCAGTGGTTCCCAAGTCGGGGTGATTTTCCTCCTACAGGACATTTGGCAATGTCTGGAGACCACAACTGGCTAGGGTGGGGTGAGAGATTGCCTATTTGCATTTACTGGGTAGAAACTAAGGATGCTGTTAGCAGTGGTTTCTTAAGATGCTACCCTGAACCCAAGGCTTCAGCAATATTTCCTAAGAAATGCTATTGTGTATCAAGAGGTGGCCAAGGGACCAGATCTTCAAAGCCACCATTCTAGCTTTAACCAGAGAAGCTCTTTAAAAATCTTAGATATTTAGATCTTGAGTTCCTTTATAGATCTTGATTTAAAAATGTCCGCCATTAAACAAGCCAACAAAAATCATGCCACTACTGAGAACCAATAAGTTACTACATAAAGTGAACTAGGAAACGCAGAAGACTATAATGGGCAAAGAACGTGTAGAAAAAAAAAATGTTGTTTAGTCAGATTTCATAGCTATGTGGAACAGAAGACTTCTTTGACTAAGGAGAAAGGGAATTTTATTGGATAACTCCTGAGTCACTAAGAAATTGAAAGAACTGGTTAACTACACAACTTCCAAACCAATGTTCTAAGCACACCAAAAAACATTCTGAGAAGGAAATAGCTGCTCTGTTCCCTAAACACTGGAGGCTAGTTTGCCCTGCAAACTCATCTGCTGTAGAAACTCAATGCCAGTGCACCTGAGTATGCATTCAAAGATCTTTTTTTTTTTTTTTTTTGCTCCAGGAGACTGATGATCTCTCTGGGAGACAGAGAATGAGAGAGAGAGGGAGACAGAGAAGGGGGGAGAGAGAGAGAGAGAGAGAATACATGTGTCATAGGGAAATAGAGAGAGTGCCTTCCACTTGCGTCTTTAGCTCCTTACTTGTGGTTGGGTGTGTTACATCTGCTTGAAGGATCTAAAGCCACATGCCTGTATCCCAAGTGAAAGCTGGGAAAACAGATACCTGGTATTTTCAGCACTTACAGGAGAAATATTTTCTGTCCTTTGCCCAGGCAGTAAAAGGCAGGGGGATTCTTCAAACACAAAAACGGGTAAATATATCAGGCAGCCTTTCAAAGTGACCACTAAGGAGTATTTTTAAATTCAAAGAAATTACTGTCTACTTTTAACATAAAATTGATTCAAATAAGGCATAGCTAATTTTAATATATTCTTTTAAATAAGAACAGCAATATTTGATCAATTATATGGTAATACAAAACCAGTTTCTAAAAAAGGCAGTGAAAGTACAATGATAGGACAACTACTCCTTTTATGAATTAATATAAATGAATTATTCAGGGTTTCCTCTTTACATTTACTTTTTTCTTTCCCATGGTAAATTAATCGTATGGGTTCAAACAGCACTGAGTTTTCTTAAATGCATATTTTCAGATTTAAAAATGTGTTATTGAATTTGGCCTCTTTTAACAACGATCTATTCTTAAGGCTGTGAAAGATAGAGACTATAAAATTGCTTACGATTTCCAGAGTTATTACGTCTAGTAATATTTCTATACCTGGGCTTAGGTGTATCAAAGAAGAAAAAACAAATCACTTTCTTTGTTTTAAGGTTGTATGGTTGAATAGATCTTGAAGTCATTGAATTTAATAAAGTTTATGAAAATATAAAGGCTCAAGGATACATCTGTGGGGTGGTATGATTTCAAAGATGTGGTAATTTTTATAAACTAAAGGAAAGTACCCTGCATCTTAAGTGACTCTTTGAGAATATTTTTCCCCAGAGATTATTAATTTTCTGAAATGGAGAAAATTTCTTTTAGAGTTCACCATTACCAGTGGCAGCTTGAAGAGCAATTCACATTTAAATAGCTGTTTCATAGCATCTCATCCTTTGCCAGCTGCACGATCCTGCAAGACTAATGTGCACCCAGCAAAGAAATTGGAATTACAACATCACAACGCTAATGTGCTTTGAATACCATGCCTCTGATATTTTTATTGAGATGTCGTCAGTTCTTACATGAGCTAGCTAAAAATATAAGAGGCAATGGTGGAGAATGAAAGCTGCTTCTATTAAAATTTTGGACCAGTCTATGATTACTCTAAGATGTATTATTTTTTCAATTTTTTCATTATACCCACATTTTATCCTTCAGAATACAGTAAATACCAGTCAATGTTACCCTGCATTAAATGCGTATGACCATATTATATTTTAGATGACTTTAACCTCAGTATGTTAGAATCGCAAGAATTTGGTTTCAAATTATAATTGCTCTGTTACTGCCTTAGACATTTTACAAGAATAACTGCATGTAGAACTTACAATATATCCTAAATGCAATATTTTGGAAAGCACAACTATAATTTATAAATGGAATTTTATTTATTGATTGAACCATAGAAGATTGGCTTGCATAGGTAAAATGTCTAGATATTGAAAATTTCATGTAATTGAACCTACAGAAATTGAGTTTGTTTCAATATTACTTTACTATCAAGATCATTCTTTGCCCTTCCATTTTTCTGAAATTCAATAAAGTTTTGAAACCTTGGGAGAGTATAGTGAATACTTGAAATTGTGCCTTAACAAAGTTAGTGAATTCCTTTATAAGTTGTCTTGATGATACTTATCACAAATTAATTAAAGTTTATTTTTTTGAAAATCCCTTTTGATTAAAAAAAATTATTCAGCTTCATTTTGGTGGTCTAACATTCAGTGAGACCTTTTTTCAGGCATAAATAACCTTACTTTCTGATTGAAGACCTTCATGCACTAATTCTTTTCTCCAAATGTTACTTCTGTTGTCCTTGCAAATAGATTTTCTCCTGATCCTGCAGTAAACTCTTGCTAATTCCAAACTACTGGGCGTGCTTTTTTGTTTTGGTATTTATACATTGCTTTATACATTTATGGCACTTCTGTTAAATTTCAGTAGTTTGTATCGTTGCTTTCATTTCAGCGCCTGAATTCTTGAAGAAAAGTCTTGTTTCGCTTGTCTTTGCATATAATAACATAGAAAATGTCTTTGTTCATAAGTCATTCAAATATTGTTTAAATTAAATTGAATTCTGAAAAATAAATTCTGTTTTTAAAAAAGCCTAAAAAATAATAATCAAAAGAAAGTGATAGATTGGCCTTAAAATAATTAAATGAATATTGTATATTTTCAGGTACATAAATACATTAATATTATATATAATATGTATTTAATACATAGTATATCTCCACAAATGCATATTTGTGTGTATACATACACCTATACATACAGACATATATGTATGTATAGATGTGGTGTGTGTATACATATGTATGTAATCATGAAAAATATTTACATAATTGCTTTGTAATATTTTTGTTGAACCTGAATTGCTATTTTGTTACTATAAACACATAAGCTTCTGAATGTAGTCTTATTAACGATAACAGAAACATAGATTCTGTAGCTTTCCAATCTCTTTCTGCACAATTTAAGTCTTCGCCTCCATCCCCCCATTCATTCAAAACTTTTTCCCTTCCCTGATTCAGTAGGGAAAGTGGTGGATGCTGTTCATTGACTTGTTCTTCTCCTAACTCTGCTGCTTTGGGGACTTTAAGAGTACTTGCAGAGGTACCATTACTTTCAATGGCAAAAACTACAATTAGTTTTGCACCAACCTTATATATTGGCTGGGCAGTGCAGTGCACATCATGGGGTCCGTTTTTGTCTCCTTTAGTAAGCCGTTGAGCAGGCGTCTGTTAGCTCCTTACCATGCTCATTAGATTGTGGAGATTCCAATGAATATTGTTCAAGATTAGCTGAAATTCTAAATATTGGAATTCCAATGTATATTCTGTTACATCAACTGTTTCTCCAAATTTGTTGATAATTTAGCAGTTTTAAGTGGAGCTGTCTGTAAGTTCACTCAGTGAACACTAATCAAGTGCTTATGTGCAAGACACTGTAAGTAGTATGTACTTTTTAGATGAATTCTATGAATGAGCTTGTCTATTCCTATAGCTTCACCTACCACAATCATAGTGATGACTCTTAGATTTGTGTATTTAAGTTGGATCTCTCTCCTGAACTTCAAATCCTCCTACCAAATGCTTTTGGACTATTCCATTTGAAATTCTAGAAAGGAAGGAAAGAATTCACAGTGGGTGTGTAACTCCTTTCATCTCTAGGTGCAAGAGGTAGTGACAATATTGACTATTTGCTCTTGTAGAAATGTTCACCGTCAACATTGCTTATTGTTAAAACACTTGGGCAGGGTGCGGTGGTTCACACCTGTAATCCTAGGACTATGGGAGGCCGAGGCAGGCAGATCACCTGAGGTTGGGAGTTCGAGACCAGCCTGAGCAACATGGAGAAACCCCATCTCTACTAAAAATACAAAATTAGCCAGGCATGGTGGCACATGCCTGTAATCCCAGCTACTTGGGAGGCCGAGGCAGGAGAATCACTTGAACCCGGGAGGCGGAGGTTGTGGTGAGCCGAGATAGTGTCATTGCACTCCAGCCTGGGCAACAAGAGTGAAACTCTGTCAAACAAACAAACAAACAACAACAAAACAAAAAAAAAATACTTAGAACTTATGAGATATAGCTAATTTGTCAATGGAAGTTACTTATGCAGTATATTCACTCATGAATGACCAAAGCAAAATTTCTTTTATAACATTTTGTTTTGCTTTGGTCGTTCATGAGTGAATGTTATAAAAGAAAATTGTGTCCCCCCAAAAATTTATATGTTGAAGACATAACCCCTACTCTGAGTGTGTTTGGAGATAAGGCCTTTAAAGAGGGAATTAAGGTTAAATGAAGTTGTCTATGTTGACGCCCTGATCAAATGTGACTGGTGTTTTGTTTTTTTTTTCAATTATACTGTAAGTTTTAGGGTACATGTGCACAACGTGCAGTTTCTCCATGTTAGTTACATGTGTATACATGTGCCATGTTGGTGTGCTGCACCCAGTAACTCGTCATTTAATATTAGGTATGTCTCCTAATGCTATCCCTCCCCCCTCCCCCCACCCCACAACAGGCCCCGGTGTGTGATGTTCCCCTTCCTGTGTCCATGTGTTCTCATTGTTCAATTCCCACCTATGAGTGAGAACATGTGGTGTTTGGTTTTTTGTCCTTGCGATGGTTTGCTGAGAATGATGGTTTCCAGCTTCATCCATGTCCCTACAAAGGACATGAACTCATCATTTTTTATGGCTGCATAGTATTCCATGGTGTATATGTGCCACATTTTCTTAATCCAGTCTATCATTGTTGGACATTTGGGTTGGTTCCAAGTCTTTGCTATTGTGAATAGTGCCGCAGTAAACATATGTGTGCATGTGTCTTTGTAGCAGCATGATTTATAATCCTTTGGGTATATACCCAGTAATGGGATGGCTGGGTCAAATGGTATTTCTAGTTCTAGATCCCTGAGGAATCGCCACACTGTCTTCCACAATGGTTGAACTCGTTTACAGTCCCACCAACAGTGTAAAAGTTCCTATTTCTCCACATCCTCTCCAGCACCTGTTGTTTCCAGACTTTTTAATGATCACCATTCTGACTGGTGTGAGATGGTATCTCATTGTGGTTTTGATTTGCATTTCTCTGATGGCCAGTGATGATGGGCATTTTTCCATGTGTCTTTTGGCTGCATAAATGTCTTCTTTTGAGAAGTGTCTGTTCATATCCTTCGCCTACTTGTTGATGGCGTTGTTTTTTTTTTTCTTGCAAATTTGTTGGAGTTCATTGTAGATTCTGGATATTAGCCCTTTGTCAGATGAGTAGATTGCAAAAATTTTCTCCCATTCTGTAGGTTGCCTGTTCACTGTGATGGTAGTTTCTTTTGCTGTGCAGAAGCTCTTTAGTTTAATTAGATCCCATTTGTCAATTTTGCCTTTTGTTGCCATTGCTTTTGGTGTTTTAGACATGAAATCCTTGCCTATGCCTATGTCCTGAATGGTAATGCCTAGGTTTTCTTCTAGGGTTTTTATGGTTTTAGGTCTAACATTTAAGTCTTTAATCCATCTCAAATTAATTTTTGTATAAGGTGTAAGGAAGGGATCCAGTTTCAGCTTTCTACATATGGCTAGCCAGTTTTCCCAGCACCGCAGTTATTCCAAAATTGACCACATAGTTGGAAGTAAAGCTCTCCTCAGCAAATGTAAAAGAATAGACATTATAACAAACTGTCTCTCAGACCACAGTGCAATCAAACTAGAACTCAGGATTAAGAAACTCACTCAAAACCGCTCAACTACATGGGAATTGAACAACCTGCTCCTGAATGACTGCCGGGTACATAACGAAATGAAGGCAGAAATAAAGTTCTTTGAAACCAACAAGAACAAAGACACAACATACCAGAATCTCTGGGACACATTCAAAGCAGTGTGTAGAGGGAAATTTATAGCACTAAATGCCCACAAGAGAAAGCAGGAGAGATCTGAAATGGACACCCTAACATCACAATTAAAAGAACTAGAGAAGCAAGAGCAAACACATTCAAAAGCTAGCAGAAGGCAAGAAATAACTAAGATCAGAGCAGAACTGAAGGAAATAGAGTCACAAAAAACCCTTCAAAAAAATCAATGAGTCCAGGAGCTGACTGGTGTTTTTATAAGAAGAGGAAGAGACCTCAGGCTTGTGCACATGCAGAAGAAAGGCCATGTGAAAACACAGCAGGAAGGCAGCCATCTACAAGCTAAGCAGAGAGGCCTCAGGAGAAGCCAAACCTTCAAATACCTTGACCTTGAACTTCCAGACTCCACAAACTTGAGAAAATAAATTACTGTTGTTTAAGCCTTCAGTCTGTGGCACTTTGTTATGGCAGCCCTAGAAAACTAGTAACTAAGAAACCCTGAACCCAAGCAATGTTCTCTGGACCAGCATGGATCTCATGGACATACTGTCAGTGCCCTTCTGTTACTCCAATACCAATGCATGCCCATGAAAGAGAATGGCATTAGGGACCTGTGTCTGACAGGCCCTGGGATCCTTCAAAGACGAATATTGCATTTGTGCCTGGGTTTGCTTATACCCATTGTGAATCATTAGTAAAATTTAGTGTTTGATAGTGTCTACGATTCCTAGGAATCTGCCTTAACAAGTCAACCCTTTGTTGTATTTCAAGATGTGTCTTACAAGCATTTAAAAGTTAACATATTTAAAACTGAAACCATCATTTCAGACCTGCAAACATACATCTCAATAAATAGCTCTGTGTCACTTTCTGGGGCTGCTGTAAAGAAGTTGGCACCTGGGCTGTAATAAACTGGGTGGCTTAAACAGAAATTTATGCTTACAGTTCTGGATCCTAGAAGTACTAAATTAAGCTGTAAACAGGGTGTTAGTCTCTAAAGACTCTAGTGTAAAATCAGTTCCATACCTCTCTCTCAGCTTCCAGTGCTGCTGGCAATCCTTGGTCTTCTTTGACTTGTAGATACATCACTACAATTTCTACCTATATTGTCGCATAGTGTTCTTCCTATCATTATGTCTCTTCTTTTCTCCTAAGAACACCAGTCATAAGGGATTAAGCACCCAGTCTACTCCAATATAACCTCATGTTAAATTGACTATAGCTGCAAAATCCCTACTTTCAAATAAGGTAAACATTTCTCAGGTTGCCTTACATTCACAAGTACCAGGGATTAGAATTTGAATCTATTTTGGGGGGAGGACACAGTTCAAGACATAATCCTTAAAAATCCTGTTACTTCTGTTTCTTAATTTTTCTTTAAAGAAGAAGGGGAACATAAAGAGTAAATTATTCATCAATTTACCCACTCATACAACAGGTATTTATTCTGCATCTAGTTTATGTTGGGCACTGTTTAAGGCCCTGATGAGAAAGCTGTGATCAAGACAGATCAGGCCTTTGGTCTTTCCAAGCTAATATCCTAACTGTAACATCTACAATGAACGTATAGACAGGAGGATTTTTGATAGTGGTAAGTGCTGTGAAAATATAGACCAGGTAAAGGATATAGAATTACTCCATAGGCAGGAGTAAGACAAGGATGTTCTTGATTAGATAAGGAAAGTGGGGAAGACTTCATTGACAAAGGAATATTGAAACTAATCTTAATGGAGAACGTTCTGGTGAAGGGCCATTCTAGGTAAAAGGAAGAGGAGATAAAGATCTTAAAATTAAATATGTGTCTGGTAATGTATAAAATGAAATCTCCTGTGACTAAAGCTTAGTGGTCACAGCAGGAGTAGAGCCACAAGGTGTCAGACAGGTAGAAGTGGTCACATCATGTAAGCTGTAACAACAAGACTAGATTTTACTCTAATTGCAATGGGACACTAGAAGGTGGTTTTAAGCAAAGACTTGTATTTATGTTTTAGAAACTCCTCTTGCCTGCTAGGTGAGGAATAAAATCTAGGAAGGCAAGAGTGGAAACAGAAATCAGTTTAGAGATTATTTAATCAGTCTAGAAACAGATGATGATGGTTCAGACTAGAGTGGTGAGTTGTAGAAGTGGAGACAGTGAAAAGTGATTGGCTTTGCCACCATTTATTAATTATCCACTGTGTGCCAGGAACATTACATTTGTGATAAGCTAAATAATGAACATCCAAAGATGTCCACACCCTAATGCCTGGATGCCCAGTCTAATGCCTGGAGCCTTTGAATATGTCATGTAACATGGCAAATGGGACTTGATAGATGTAATTAAATCATAGGCAGTAAAATAAGGAGGCTATCAGGGGTTATCTACTTGGGCCCAACCCAATCACATGAGTCCTTAAAAGTGGTAAACTTTCTCTGGAAATAATAAAAAAGTTGAGATGAGAAAAGTTGTAGATAATCAAAATGACAGAGTGACTTGACTTGCTATTGCTAGAGGAAGGGCTTGTGGAAAGTGTGTGAAGGAATGCAGACAGCTTCTAGGAGCAAAGCATGACCCCCAAGTGACAGTTAACAAGGAAACAGGGACTTCATTACTACAACTACAGGGAACTAAATTTTACCAACAACCTGAGTGAGCTTGGAAGCAGATTCAGCCCCAGAACCTCCAGAGACAAATTCCATCACCTTGATTTTGGCCTTGTGAGACTAGCCGAGGATCCTCCTTGGCTACAGTTCACCCAGATGCCTGACTTACCTGATGCCTGACTTACTACAGTCTACCCAGATGCCAGTGAGATAACAAATGGGTGTTGTTTTATGCCACTGAATTAGTGGTAAATTGCTACAGCAATAATAGAAAGCTAAGGCCATTATCCGTATTTCCCATTCCACATGCAATCCATCCAAGCAGTTGGTCCTTTCTATTCCCACTGTGTCATAAATCTTGGGTAATGTGTTACTTATTTTAGACTTTAATTATTACCATAAATGAATACTGAAATGACTAACTTCAATCTAACCTTATATTCTATCATCTACATTCAATTAGATTGATTATCACAAAATGCACATCTGATCAGGGCATTCCTTCTTACTTTGTGTGAATAAATCCTTTCTGCCAATGCAACCAATTCAAGTACCCTTTCCTTCAAAGCAGATTGAGTCTACCTTCTCAGTGCTTCCATAGCTTCCTATTTAGCATGCTATCTCATCCCCTATTCCTCTATTGATCACTTTCCCTTTTAAAAATTCTTTACTGTGTTTTTAATTGCAAAAATAATCCATAAAACAAAATAATTCAGGTCATAAAAAGATAAAAAAAGTCTCTTACATCTTTTCCAGCCTCATCTAACCTCATATCTAAAAGAAATAACTTTTAATAGTTACTTTTATATATTTTTCTATGTACATGTAAATTAACAGGATGATATCTACAATTTATATTGTACATATAAATTGTAGAGGGATATATATATGCATATACATGTGTATATACATACATGCTTGTATATTCTACATGAGTGTAGAACATTAATTTGGTTTGTAATCTTATTTTTACTAATTTTTACATCAGTCATAGGCTCATTTTGAAATGTCCATAAGTTATGTTATTGGTTAAATGTGTTTTTATTTTATTGAATTATACATCTTTTTAAGAATTTTAGTATTCCAGATTTTTCTATAATTAACATTCATATACTTATATGTGTTTTAGCACTTGTGAAAATATATTTGTAAAATAAATATGTAAAATAGTAATCAAGGGGTTTGTCATATTAAATTGCCAAATTGCCTTCCAAAAATACTGTGCCAATTAAAATTCTCATCAACTTTGTGTGAGAACTCCTGTTTCTTCACAACTTCAGTAATATGTGAACTTGGGATTGGTTTGATATGCAGCAATAGAAAGCTGGAAGAGCAACAGAGATAATCTATCTATGAGGTGTCATGGTAGGAGTTGTAAACAGATAAAGCAGTGGCAGTGGGGAGATAAACATTCAATAACAATAAAAGAAGAAAGTTTTATAGACTTAACAGGATGCATATGTCTTCAAATTCAGAGAAAGATAAATGGCAAACAACAACAGCTTGAGGCACATGAATTGGAAATTTATTACCTTGTAGATAGAAGATAAAAAGATTTAGTGTAGAAGGATAGAAAATAAATTATCCATCTGCCTACTGAAAGAATCAATTTTATCTGAGATTTGTTTGGAGAAGCTTATAGAATAGAGTGCTTTCAATGTTACTTTCATCCTGTACTTCAGCCAGTCAAAATATTAGTTAATGCTGAGAGATTATAGACGTTTTAAGATTCAGAACATACCATGTGCTCTTAGGAAATTCCTTATGAAAATGCTGCAGCAATATGGACTGGAAGTCAGAAGTGGTGGAGGCCCCAGTCCAGGAGAACAGAGAACAAGGGTCCAAGGATGAAGTTGGGCCATGAGTCTGTAGAGGCTTAAGTCCAGTTCATAATTGTAAGGCAGACTCAGGAATAAAAGTCAGATCTATTACAATAGACAATAATAAGAAATTTATCATATGATTAAGATCAATTGCATGAACAAAATATGTGTAACTGGGTACTCCACATAAAAAAGAGGCAAAAAAAAAAAAAAACAAAAAACAAAAACAAAAACAAAACAAAAGCATTTCCCCAATACAAAACAATTTGCTCAGGATCAGATGCTGGTGAGTCAATCACACTGGATTCTCAGCAAGAGACAAAGAAGAGCTGGAAGATATTCGTTATAAAATTTTTAAAAAATTTACCTTCAATAAAGGATAGTGACTTCAGCAAAAAAGAAAAAGCAAAAGCAACTCCTAACTGTGGAGAAAGGTGTAATCCAGGTAGGAAGCAAACTAATATGTTAGCCTGATTGTAAATAATTGGTGGAGTATGCAAAAATTTTTTGAAGATTTTTAGCTTAAACTTGCACAAGACTAAAATGTTGGAACTAAAGAGAAGAAGATATAATTATAATGTTATAATTAATATAATTACATACTATAAAATTAATTAGTTTAATAATTATAATTAGATACAATTAAAATAATTTATATTGTTCTATTGGTTTTAAACTTATACACACAACCTAAGAAAACAGAGTGTGAGGAGACTATGCGACAGAAGAGAATACCAACAATGGTAACATAAGAGCAAATTTATTTCCAATAGGATTGGGGAATGACTAAGCAAGCAGAGAGAAAGAAGGGTTACAGAACTGATTTGCTCACCTATCCCATCATCAAGGGTAGAGTCAAAAAATATTGTCTCCAATTAATGGAATCAAAAGTAGAAGCCTATGCATGTTATTTAAAATTATAGTGGCAACTGGTAGAGAAACAATGGTATAATTAGGCGGTAGAATACTCTGAGAGTGGCAGAAGTGAAATAAATCCTTGTCTTTAACAGCAGGAAGTTAATAGGTTTTACAGGTTGCACATTCCTAATCGGGAAATCTGGTCATAAATGCTCCAAAATCTGAAACTTTTTGAGTGCCAACATGATGCCACAAGTGAAGAATTCCACACTGGAACCTGTGTGAGGTGTGGCAGTCAAAGTGCACACACACAACACAATTTATTCAGTGTCACCAAAGGCAAAATAAATTACCTTCAGTTGATGCATATAAGATGTATGAGAAACATAGATGAATTTCTTATTCACACTTGAGTCCCATCTCCCAGAAATCTCATAATGTATATGCAAATATTCCAAAATCCCAAACACTTCTGGTCCCAAGCATTTCAGATATGGAACACTCAACCTGTGTATATAGAATCATAAATCAGAATGAGCTAGAGAACCATAGTAGTAGAAAGTTAAAATCTTTAAAATACAAATTGTGCTAGTAGCAACGAAGAGGAAAACATATTAGCCATAAATTCTTCCTCAGGCTAGTAAAAAATATGTATATGCTTATCTATGTGCATACATCTATAGAAGCAGGTATATAATAGACTTCATCAGTATCATGCCTACAAAGTCTCACAGGATTAAATTGTCCATCACAGAATATTTTCATATTTATGTCTTTAAGAACTACCTGTTTATCTTTTACCAATTAAAAAAAAATCATGTAGAATTTCAAAAATCTGAGTTGTTCAATAGCACAGTCTTTGGTCAAAGTTTAAAAAATATAGTAAGGCTGTTGAAATAATATTTAAAATACAAACTCATGTAGGAACACTATACTATTTTTTAAAATCAACCTGAAAATGGTATCACTTAAATCACAGAATTAAAATGATGGATGACAAAATATTACAAGCTGAGCATTTGCATATACATAATGAGATTTCTTGGAGCTGGGACCAAAGTTGAGAGAGAAATTAAAAAGGGGAAAAACATATATTTTTTTGTATAGCCATTAAAATAAAGGAAAAATAAAAACTATTTAAAAAAACATCAATGTGGGCAGGCTGCTCCCTTCAGAGCATCAGGGCACTCCTATCTCCTCTATGTCTGCCTCTGTCCTGGCCCCTCCTATCTGCACTAAACTGACCTCTCTCTCTGGTTATGCCAGCAGCTGTGGTAGCAGAAAATTTCACAAGTAATATCCTCACATTAAAGAAGTGTGCTACTTTGGTTTTCCGCCACATATGCCTTCAGCTAGAAGATGGCCTTAGGGGAACACATGTGGATACGTGAGGAGAGAAAGGAGAGACTGTTCAGCTGGCCAGAGCATTTGAGCAAATGCGGACAGTCAATACAGCAGCAGATGCCACCGCCAGCTTGCCTTGACACATAATTCCCTGCTCTGGAACAATTTTATTGACTTTACAGTGGAGGGGTCTTTCATGGTTTCTCCAGTGTCTTCGACTTTTGTTACAGGCCAGAGGCAAGATCTAATAAATTGAAAGACGCAGAAGTGTTGTATTTCAAATAGATGTCCTTATGTTTTGCAAATTGCAAAATGAAAGAGTGGGTTATTTTAAAGAGCTTCACAGCCCCTTCCCTCTCACCATGGATTTTTTTTTTTAAACATTTAAGGGCATTACAGAGACAACATGATAAATGTCCAAAGGTAGGGAGGAGAAAAAATACAAAGAAAAAGAAATCTGAAGAAGATCTTGAATATAAAGTTAAAGAAGGAATATAGAGATGAAGATTCCCTTTTATTACTCATCCTTGATATTAACTTATGATTCAATTGCAAATTGAAAACATCCCTGCGTAAGTACATTTTATGTACTTGTTAAAATAGGAGTTGGCTGCCTGACTTTCAAGACTTTCAGATATATTTCAATTGTATTTATTAGTTAAAATTGTATACCTTTTTCTGGGACATTTTATGAACTCATCAACTTGAAAAATATGGATTATTATTGTTGCCAGTACTGTATTTACCATTTTATTACATATTTTTTCCTGTCTTACCCACTAAAATGTCAGCTTCATCAGCGAAAAAACCTTGTCTCCTCTTCCTCAGTCTTATATCAGCAGTGCCCAGTGGATTAGTGAAAATCTGGTAAATAAATATTTGCTGAACAAATGATAGTCTCTTATATAATGCAATTCAGATTTCCTTAGAATTAGGTGAGACGACTCTCCGCTGGATACATTCCATGAAGTATGGCATTCAGATTATAACACAGTAGCTCAGGTACTATTTAATCAGCATACTGAGAATCTTCTTTATTTTTACAGACCAGTGGTTTTCAGGTATTTCTTTCTGGCAATTATTCTTTCAACTAAATTCCATTACAAATTCCAACCTAATAGGGAAAAAAAACACAGAATTATTCTTTGTAAAGTGAGATTTGTATGTGTTTGATTGGGCTCATTTATTCTTCACTTATTCCTACATAGCAATCCTTGAAAGATCTTTAGAGAAATGAAGGCATTCAAAACATAAAGTTTAAAACCCATGTTCGAGGGGTTTTTTTCCTCATGAAGCTTGTGTTTTCTGTCCTTAAATTATTAATATATTGACAAATAACATGAAATGAATTAATTGACATATAGTAGATATAAAATAATTAATATTAAAATATCAGGTTAACATCAAACATCCTAAGAATTCTCCAGTTATTTTACATGCCCTCCATATTTTGTTATTTTAAAATAAATGCCTAAAATAGTACTTTATAAAAAGTATATTTGACATTCCATGTCCTGTAGCAATGAGCTAGTTTAGTAGGATAATTTATCTTGCTTTATAAATGCTCAAAATATTTTCTTTAAGTTTTTAATGGGATTGGAGTGCTTAAAATAGTGCAGAATATTTGTGCCAGTTTTTGTAGAAAATTATGAACTCAGGTAACAAAAAATGTGAGAGCATCGCAGCTGATTTTGTCTTGAGATCATTTTCTAATACCTCACAATGGAGTTTCAGTTAGGAAAAGTAGAAACTAATCAAGGCCCAGAACTATCAAGGTAAGGAGTCTTATAAGAGATCCTTCCCACATTTACTTGAAATTCAGAGGCTATTCAGACTAAGCATGAACCAGAAGTAAACCTTCCTCTCCTCGATTTCTCCAAACTCATGGCCTGGAGAGAAAGGGTCATCAAAGAATTCACATACATGAAAAAATATACCATGTTTACAGAATAGAAAGTGGGACATTTGCATTATCTCAATTTTCTCCAGATATGTGTATGGATTTAAAATCAAAAATCAAAATTTCAAATGGGTTTGTGTGTGTGTGTGTGTGTGTGTGTGTGTGTGTGTGTGTGATCTTGCGTAACCTAACAGTCTATAATCTATATGAAAATGTGAAGCACCAAATATTGTCACAACGGTCTTGGAGAAGTAAAAGTTGGAAGAGCTTGTTTTAACAGATCAAAACATATTATAAACAATAGTAATAAAGCTAGTTTAGAATTGTTACATGGGCAAACCAATAGATGAGAATCAAATACAGAAACAATATATTCAATAATTGGCATTTGATTTATGGCAAATGTATTACTCTAGAGTAATATGGAAAGCACAATTGTTGCTTTTTATTAAATCATGCTGGGAATATTGGGTATCCAATTAAAATAAAATTTTACATTAAATACTTAAATGTAATAAAGAAATTGAAATAATCTGGAAGAAGTTCTTTGATCCCTTAAGATAAGGAAGCATCTTAAACTAGCTACAAAATAGTTCTAACCATAAGGAAAATATTGATAAAATTTACTACTTTAAAATTAGCAAATTGCTGCTCATTAAAAGACCTAAGAGTGAAAGGACAGGCCGTGAGATAAGAGCACTATAGATTAGAAAAGCAACCTCTGGCTCAGTGCGGTGGCTCGCACCTGTAATCCCAGCACTTTTGGAGGCCGAGGCAGGCGGATCACGAGGTCAGGAGTTCGAGACCAGCCTGACCAGCATGGTGAAACTCTACTAAAAATACAAAAATTAGCTGGGCGTGGTGGTATACACCTGTAATCCCAACTACTCAGGAGGTTGAGGCAGGAGAATCGCTTGAACCCAGGAGGCAGAGGTTGTAGTGAGCTGAGATCACACCACTGCACTCCAGCCTGGGTGATAGAATGAGACTCTGTCTCAAAAAAAAAAAAAAAAAAAAAAAAAAAAAAGGAACAACAACAACAAAAAGCAACCTCCTTGAGTACTACAGCCTTATAAGAGCACAGCTCTGTGAGTGAAGCACAAGATGAGATTCAGCCCTAACTCACCAACTTGGCTGGGTGCCCTTGTTTTTGGCATAACATATACCACTGTATGTGATGACCCTTCATATTGTGAGAGAGGATAGTTGCAATACATATGACCAATAAAGAACTGGTATCTAGAGTATGGAAATAATTCCAAATGTCGTTAAGGGAGACAGAAAATTCAATAGAAAAAAATGAGCAAAAATATTGAATAGGCAAATAAATGAGCAAAGGTTATGTATCTACATAACCTTATTACTAATTTGGAGCAATTAAAATCATAACCACAGTGTGATGATTAATACTGAGTGTCAACTTGATTGGATTGAAAGATGCAAAGTATTGATCCTGGGTGTGTCTGTGAGGGTGTTGCCACAGGAGTTTAACTCAGTCAGTGGGCTGGGAAAGGCAGACACACCCTTAACCTGGGTGGGCACCACCTAATCAGCTGCCAGCATGGCTAGAATATAAATCTGGTAGAAAAATGTGTAAACATGAGACCAGCCTAGCCTCCAGGCCTACATATTTTCTCCTGTGCTGGATGCTTCCTGCCCTCGAACATCAGACTCCAAATTCTTCAGTTTTGGGACTTGGACTGGCTCTTCTCCTCAGTTTGCAGATGGTCTTCTGTGGGACCTCGTGATCGTGTGAGTTAATACTCCTTAATAAACTCCCCTTTATTTATGTATGTATCCTATGAGTTCTTTCCCTCTAGAGAACCCTGACTAATACACCCAGTGAAATATATGTTGCAATGTAAAGTGTCTGAAAGGTTATGGAACAATGGAGACTCATATACTGCTGAGAGGAATGAAAACTGGTACAAGAGTGTTGATAAATAATTTTAAGTTATGCATACCTCACTGATGAAGCAGTTTTAATTTAGGTATGGAGTAAGCAGAGTTACATTTCTGCACAGATGAAGACATGTACAAGAATGTTTGTGGTAGTATTATTCATAATAGCTGTACTCTGTAACAAACCAAATGTTCACCAACAGTAGAATGGATAAGAAAATAATGGTACATTTCATTCAAAATTATAGTACACTAATGCAAATGAACATATCGCAGCATGTATAACAACATAGATAAAATTTAAAAAGTCAATCAGTGAAAACACACACACATACAGTCATATGTCATTTAAAGACAGGGATACATTCTGAGAAATGCATCTTTGGATAAATTCATCATTGTTTGAACATCAGAGTGTACTTACACAAACCTGGATGGCATAGCCAATTATACACCTAAGCTATAGCTTTATAATAGGTATAGCCTATTGCCCCTAGGCTACAAATCTGTACAGCATATTACTGTACCGAATGCTGCAGGAAATTGTAATAAAGTCTTATGGGTCTATATAAACATAGAAAATGCATAGTAAAAATACATACAGTATGACAGTCTTATGGGACTACCATCGTATATGTGATTCATTGTTGACTGAACATTGTTGTGAGGCACATGACCGTATTTTATGATTTCAGTTATATGAAGTCAACCAAGAGTTCAAACTAAAATATATTGTTTAGGAATACATGCTAAGGTGTTAAACTAAAGAATATCCAAGAAATAATTGAAATAAAACTCAGGAAAGCGATTATATCGGGGTGAGGGGAGATATGATTGAGAAATCTCCAAAATGCAACATTCTATTCTCTTTCTTTCTCTAGTATTCACTTTATATCTCTCGTCCATTATTTTTGTCTTATATGTGCTATGTATTTTCTTTGTTCATATGTTCTTTCTTAGTGAATACTTAAATTTTTTTAAATACCATTACTTTTAATTGTATGACACATAATTTACTAATTTATTGAGTGAGGGTGTATTAGTTTCCTAGAGCTGTCATAAGAAAATACCACAAACTGGGTGGCTTAAAACAATAGAAATTTATTCTCCCACATTTCTGGAGGCTGGAAATCTAAAATCAAGTGTCAAGTGGCCCATGTTCTTTGGGAGGGCTCTTAGAGAAGATGCTTTCCTTGCCCCTCCCTCGCTTCTGTTGGTGGCTGGCACTCCTCGGTCTTACTTGGTTTGCCGCGGCATCACTCTGATCTCTGCGTCTGTCTTTGCATGGCCGTCTCCCACTTATGTCTGCATTTCTGTCTCCAAATTTTCCTCCTATGAGGACAGCAGTCATATTGGATTTAAGCCCGCCTTTAATTCAGCATAACCTCAGATTAATTTATTATATCTACATAATCCCTATTTCCAGGTAAATTCATATTCTGAGTTTCCGGGAGACATAAATTTAGGGGGGACAATATTCAACCTTGTACAGGGGTATAATGTTTAATACATTCATGGAGTGTACTTATCACTTCAAAACAGCAATATAAAGTTTCAATTGCCTATCCATCTCCAAGCCATGGAGTAGCAGAACCTAATGTAAGGGTTGAGATCTCTCCAATCTTAGAGAAAATTCACATCTCTGAAGCTAAAGAAAGTAAACATTATCTGTGTATTTGAGGATGGAGTTTATGGAAATTGTGTCAGATTCTCTATGGAAACTAAGCCAAGAGTGACAGGAATTTTTTCACTGAGAATTAGAATCAGAATTATGTTTATCTTTGCATTACTTGAATCTAGAACAGAGGAGTCCCTTGTTCTGTTAACCAACGATCCTTTCAGAAGAAATACCCTACTCTAATTCTTTAAAATTGGGTTGCTCAAATTTAGATAAACACAACTTTGGGGCTGAAAATCTCAAAATGTTTCATGTGTAGCTAATACATTTACAATGTGAAATTTTTGTTGCCATAGCTATCATTTTCCTCATTCATATTAGAGACAGGATTAGACTTCAAAATAATTGTGCTTTATTATTAATGTTCATTAAATAATTATGAATAAATGATTCACATTTATGGATAGTAAATGACATCTTTGAACTTAAAGATATTTAAAATAATTGCTTTCTCATGAATAAGTTAAATCATTTTCTTTGAAATTTTTTAAATTACTGTATTCATCCTTACACTACCAGTTTTCCATTTATATCTGAAATGCTACTTCCAAAGTACTTTTAAAATATTGAAATAGAAGATTTCTATTGGAAAATTTGAATAATTGTCTTCAAAACTAAATTGTGCATATGCTGTATCTTCTCAGTATCTCAGCCAGAAATGAAAAACGAAATATTTTGGGAGCATAGTGGAAAAGAGGAAAGAGAAATTTGGATTCGTTTCAAAGTTTAAAAAAAAAAAAAAAAGCCTACTGGCAGATTCAAAGGCCTGGATTATATTCAAAATATCACAGATCGCTAAAACTGAAAATTATCTTATAAATCATTATTCAGTCCAATCTCTGAGTAGATGGAGAGATGTAATATATGAGAAGGCTGAAATCCAGAGAAAATTGATAACATGCTCTAGGCTTCCCAGTTAGTCAGGTATATCTCTGTTTATTCTACTGCCAGGACCAAAACAAATAGGTTTGGAAATACACGTTTTCCTAAATACCCCATGTCCTTCTGTGTACCGGTGTAAAGTCTAAGAAGATCTGCAGTATTAATACAAATTGGTGACATTACCGGCAGCTTCAGTGCTGTCCAGAGGGAGAAAAACAAATTGCTACAAATAAAAAAAAACAGATTTACGCTGATGTTTGGTTTTTCACCCTTTTTGGTGCTATCCTATATCTATTTAGCCTAGTCTAAACAGCACACTAAGGAAAACCTGATCGATTGAGGACTTAAAATGTGTTTTTAGTTCCCATAAATAATTGTGAGTAAAATGTGGTTAATTATCCTTAGTGATATATATCTGAAGTGAGATACTGAAAATTTACTTTGATTAACTTCATTTGTTCTCAGCACAGGTGTCTGCATCAGGAGTTATTCATGGACATTTATCTCCAAGTCCTTTTTTTTTTTTTTTTAAACCTTGGATTCCACAGACCACACAGGACTTTTTGATCTCAGTTCTTCCTCACTGGCATGTTTTTTTTTTTTTGACCTGAATCTAATTTTAGAGAAACACGTAACTCATTTGATCTATCAGGATATATTTGTCTTCTATATGGGTTGAGGGATAGCGGCAATCATAGATAATAGGAAAATTTAAACTAAAATCCTCTAAAAACAATGTCCCTGATTTAGTATTCTACGTCATTAGTGACTAAAAGTAGAAAATCTGTTCAACACAATTTGTCTTAAATTTGTACCAACCGTACTGACACGCTGAATGTATTTCTGTTCACGTACATCATGGGTCATCTTTTTTTAGTGTTGAGTGTAAATAATGTGCTGTGGTCCAATTCCAGGTGCAATCCTTGAGCTTTTTCCAGCTGTAGGACTGGAAAGTCTATTGGAGGCATTTTCAAAGCCCCAATCTCTCTCTCTCTCTCTCTTTTTTTTTTAACTTGTAAAGATTTAAAGGATACAAGCGCAATTTTGTTACATGTATATGTTCTATAGTGGCGAAGTCAGGGCTTTTAGTGTATCCATCACCAAAAAAAAAGTATATTATACCCATTCAGTAATTTCTCATCACCCCCTCCCACTCCCCAATTCTTCTGAATCTCCATTGTCTATCATTCCACACCTTGTGTTCATGTGTACATATTATTTAACTCCCACTTATAAGTGAGAACATGTGGTATTCGTCTGTTTCTGACTTGTTTCACTTAAGATAATGATCTCCAGTTCTATCCATGTTGCTGCAAAAAACATGATTGCATTCTTTTATGGCTGCATAATATTACATGATATATATATATACCACATTTTCTTTTTCCAATCATCCACTGATGGACATTTAAGTTGATTCCATATCTTTGCTATTGTGCATAGAGCTGTGATACAAATGGCAAACAAGCGTATGAAAAAGTGCTCAACATCACCAGTCAAAAAAAAAATTCAAATCAAAACCACAGTGAGATGTCATCTTACACCGGTCAGAATGGCTATTACTGAAAAGACAAAAAATAGTAGATGTTGAAGAGGGTGCAGAAAAAAAGGAATGCTTATAAAATATTGGTAGGAATGTAAATTAGTACAACCTCTATGGAAAACAGTATGAAGATTTCTCAAAGAACTAAACATAGAACAACCATTCAGTCCAGCAGTCCCACTACTGAGTAAACAAAGTAAAATCAATCATTATGTTAAAATGATATAATGCTCTTGTTATGGTTTGGGTGTTTGTCCCCTCCAAATCTCATGTTGAAATGTGAGTCTCAATATTGGAGGTGGGGCCTGGTGGGCGGTGATTGTATTATTGTATTATGGGAGCGGATCCCTCATGAATGACTCAGCACCATCCCCTTGGTGATAAGTGAGTTCTCCCTCAGTTCATCCTAAATCTGCTTGTTTTTTTTTTTTTTTTTTTTTTGGTCTTTTTCTTTTTTTGAGACGGAGTCTCTCTCTGCTGCTTAGGCTGGAGTGCAGTGGCCAGATCTCGGCTCACTGCAACATCTGATTTCCAGGCTCAAGCAATTCTCCTGCTTCAGCCTCCCAAGTAGCTGGGATTACAGACATGCACCACCACATCTGGCTATTTTTTGTATTTTTAGTAGATAGGGGGTTTCACCATGTTGGCCAGGCTGGTCTCGAACTCCTGACCTCAAGTGATTTGTCCACCTTGGCCTCTCATAGTGTTGGGATTACAGGAGTGAGCCACCATGCCTGGCCCTAAATCTACTTGTTTAAAATAATCTAGGACCTCCCTCTTCTCTCTTTCTTGCTCCCACTCTCCTCATATGGCATGCGGGCTCCTGTTGACCTTCAACTGGAATTTTAAGCTTCCTGAAGCCCTTGCCAGAAGCAGATGCCGGCACTATGCTTCATGTACAGACTGCAGAAATGTGAGCCAATTAAACCTCTTTTCTTTATAAATTACCCAGTCACAGGTTTTTTTTTTTTTTGCTTTTTTTTTTTTTTTTTTTTTTTTTTTTTCATTTATAGCAATGCAAGAGCAGACTAACGCAGCCCCACTTCTTTAAATGCCCAGTTCTCCAGCTCCTTAGCATCTGGACAGGAGAGGAGCCCAGTCTAATTTGGTCTTACTTCCATGCATTGCTTGCTGAGGGATATTATTTGCTGAGTAGAGGTAGTTCTCAACAGACCTCAATTTGAAGCTTTAGATGAATTCCATTTTCCAAACAATACCATGGTTGCTAGGAAAAATCTTGCCACGTTTACAGCCCTTTTCATAGGTATCAGTTTTTCAAATTCATGTCCCAGTGAAGAAAGTGCTTCTTGCTAAACTGATGAATTCCCTCAAGGTCAATGCTTAGTCAATATCTCAGCCAGCCATACTTGAAGAGTACAAGATCAAGGTAGCATGAGTGGGACATCTGTCTGCTGATGGGCTTGTGGTGGCAGGGATTCTGGCTGCAGTGAAGAAAGCCTGCTGTGTAGCTGCTAACTCTTCCAGTTGCTGCAGTCCATCAAGCAAGAACAATCCCTGTGTAATTTTTAGTGTGGGAGAA
Source organism: Homo sapiens (assembly GCF_000001405.40). NCBI lineage: Eukaryota > Metazoa > Chordata > Mammalia > Primates > Hominidae > Homo > Homo sapiens. Next base: position 18,078,424 of record NC_000005.10, read on the forward strand.
TGAACACCCTAGGTGGTTTAGATACCAAGTGTGACAGCTTTATTAATTAGCTTTTTCAAGATTCACATATAATCAATTTCAAGGTTAATGAAAGACCAGTTCCAGCATCAATTACATCATAGAACTAGATCAATGTCCCCCTTTATCGCTTCTAACTCAATGCCGGGATTCATCTCCAAGCGCCACAATTTTGGGCTCTCTGGTAGATTTTCTTTGAGTCCTCCCTGCTCTTGTGCCATAGACCTGGATGGGAACTATGACAGCCCATCACATTAGAGTTCCATAACAGTTAATCTCTGAGAAAAAGTGTTGCAAGATTTTGATACCTACTGTACCCACTAACCTAGATATAAAATTAGTCTACACTCTCCCCCAAAACACTTCATGACATGGTTATGCTGAACTTCTCCTGGCCTGAACAAAAGGTCACTTTACACATTTTATCTGCATAGTGGATGAACTTCTCAAGAACAGCTCAAGAGACTTTATCCATAGAGAGGACAGTGCATAGCTTGGGGCTGAAAAAAATAGATTAGTCTTTATTTGAACACTCTACTACTATATTCATTTTATTTATCCTTATGAATATGAAAGCCAGAAATTTTTATAACTTGAATTTAAAAGACAGAGAATATTAGAACAAGATAATATCTATAAAAAATGTGAAAGTTACCTTTGTTTCTTTGAACAAGGAAAATAGCAAACTGTCTTGGAATGTTTTCATGGCTACTTAAAAATATTATTATGCTTTATATTTTTATAGCAGTTTCAGGTTTATAGCAAAATTGGGCAGATAGTACAGAGAGTTCCCATACGTCTTCTTTCGACCACACAAAGGTTCCTTGTTGCTAACATCTTGTATTGGTGTGGTACCTTTGTATAATCGATGAACCAATATTGACTCACTATTATTAACTAAAGTCTATAGTTTCCATTAGGGCTCACTTTTTGTGTTGTACATTCTGGGTTTTTAACAAATGTATAATGATATGTGTCTATTATTATAGCGTCATACAGAATAGTTTCCCTGCCTTAGGAATCTTCTGTGCTCCACCTATTCATACCTCCCTCTCCCAAGCCCCTGGCAACCACTAATTGTTTTACTATCTCCATAGTTTTACCTTTTTTTAGAATGTCATATACTTGGCATCGCACAGGATGTAGCCTTTATAGACTGACTTCTTTTATTTTGCAATATGCATTTAAGTTTCCTACATGTCTTTTTGTGGCTTCGTAGCTCATTTCTTTTTATAGCTGAATGTCACATTTTAAGGATGTACCACAGTTTGTTTATCCATTCACCTATTGAAGGCCATCTTGGTTGCTTTCAGGTTTTGGCAATTATGATTTGATATAAACATTCATGGGCAGGTTTTTATGTGGACGTATGTTTTCAACTCATTTGGAAAATTACCTAGGAGTGTGATTGCTGGATTGTATGGTAAGAGCGTTTAGTTCTGTAAGAAACTGCCAAACTGTCTTCCAAAGTGGCTGTACTAGTTTGCATTCCTCCCAGCAATGAATGAGAGTTCCTGTTACTTTCACAGATTGCTTCTACATTTGAAATTCAAATTCAATAAACAAATGTTTAAGAAATAGAAGTTAACTGTCTATATAACTTTAGACGCAAAAAAAATTTTCAAGGATGGATATCCTAAAGTTAGGTTTGACTTAACAGTCACTTCTGTTTCAGCGTGGAGGGCAAATTTGGGCCTTTCTGCTTCAAGAATTAAGATGCATCCAAGTAAATGTCTCCTGAAGTCCACATTGAAATCCTGGCTTCCCCAACAGCAACACATCCTTTCTTAAATTTGTTCTTTCTTGATATATTTTCCTCCCTAGGTCTCATTGCAAATTTGGCTAAAACCATTTTGACTACATCAGTGAGGTAGCTTTCCAAGTTATTTTTATTATGATAATTCTATTTTTAAAATAATTTTTAAATAACCATTTTATTCAAGTTATTTAATTTTAATCCAACTTCATACCATGTTTTATAGTTTTCTTTAAAAAATCTATTCAGCTACATTGACATATTTTTAATAAGCCATACAATTTTTCTAATTTAGTAATGTTGTGTCAGGAATATTTTTATAATTCACCATCATGCACTACATAAGTTGGGATTATTTTTCCAACAGGATAAGATTTAAATATGAGCCTGTGACTTTTAGTTAATGTTAAACTTGCAGCACAGTTTTTTTTTCTTGGAAATATTTTTAAAAACACAAATTAAGGGAAGAAAATCACACAAATATTATAGCAATTAAAATGACAATATATCATGAGTTCTTCTATATTAAAATTTTATCTTCCTTCCACTTGCCATTCCTCATATACTTTGGAATATTTCTGATATATTACTGCATGGATGCTCACAGACATATTGTCTCAGTTTTAGAAACAAATGACAGCTTCATTTTCCAGATCATTTTTAAGGGAAAACCTTACTAATCTTTTCTTGTTTTCATGAGAAAACGTTTCTTTTCCAGGAAGGAACAGTATTGGAGTAACACTTTGCCGTTTTAAATTTTTTCATGTACTCCTCCTTGGAAGAGAAATAACGAATTTGACTGTCATGATGGCAGGAGTTTGACCTTTATCGGTCCAGTTCTTCTTAGGCAAGGTAAAGGTGTGATGTCTGCTGTGCTTTTAGGGCCTGTGGCTTTCCTCCTTTGGCTCTTCTTGGCTCTAGAATGGGTCCGTTTTGTTTGTGCCATCAGGTAACTGGGGGAAAGCATTTCTTCCCTAAAACTGAATTAAATCCAAATGAAGGAAGAAGCAACAGAAAGCCCATCTGATCCAAGCTGTATCTCCAAATCACGAGCTGCTCAACAAAGCTGCTATTTGGATCCCCATCTCATACCTTTATTTCTTAATTGGTTCTCAATGCAGAGAAAGAAGGGCTGTGATTAAATCACAGAAGTTTCCTTCCCAATTTGAAGTAACTGTCAGGAATTAACCATTAACTAACACACGATTTAGACAATTTCTTTAAAGAAAGAGGTTTCTGTATTTATTGATTCCTTTGTATATGCTAAGAACTGTATATCAGTTATTTAATCTGATTTAATCTCACTAAATCTTGGTTAGAAAAAGTGTCACAGAGGAGTTCTATGTTTAGCAATAGGATTATTTCAGCATTCTTTCTCATAAATGTGTGGTTTATTCCAAAAGATCAAGGAAGTCACTTTTTTGTTTTCTGTTTTTCTTCAAAAACAATGTATCATTTTCATTGACTCTGATCTATGTTTTTCAGTCCGGCATATTGATAGTAGTAATCCTTGGATTTCCAGGTGAAAAACTCAGGACAGATGCTTCAACTTTATTCAATACTATGACCTTTATTCTCACAGAAGCATAATCAGGGATAGACAAACTAACCTTATACACTTAGTATGAGTTATCTGCTAGATTGAAAAAAAATTGATGTATCAAAACTAGAAATTAGAGATCTATCTGTCTAACTATCTTATCTACAGGTTTGTCATGTTGGAGACCACAGCTGAGAGGCTGCTTCACATTTTATGCACTTTCTAGTTGCTTAGAACAGTTTGATATGATCACTTGAAACATGTTCAAATCTGAAACCTACTTGAGGGTTCACCAAGCACAACCCCCGCCCACCTTGTACCGATACTTGTCTTGTGATATCAAAAGTTGAATCTTTTGACACTTGAAAAATGTTTACCTATTGCCCATGTATTTGCCTCAAAGTTTATCGAATTTTTCAGTAATTACCTCTAAATATAAATTCTTTTTCCCCCAGAAGTAGTACAAACTTATTCAAAATGTAATCTTATTTTATATAATAAAATATTCCCTGAAATAGAAATTGAGGTGGTCTGCTCAGACCACCTCCACTTTAGGAGTCACACAACTAACCTTCAGGTGCTGCTGGGAATATGAGTTTGGGGTGGTTCATAATGTTGTTCCTCACTAGGAATCACTTTCAGCCGTAAGGTAAGATTATGTCACTTCCGGGTCAACCCAGGTGATCTGTTAGGATTGTTGTATCTTAACAGTTTCTCCCTTTGCCTAGTCTGAGTCCCTCATTTCCTTAGATGATGCTCCCAAGAGCACTCTTGACTACTTCCTGCATGAAATTCTTCTTACTTTCTGTTTCTGGGAAACTTGACCAAAGGTAGTATGAGACAGACCTAGAGAATAGATTTTTAGAGCTATATTAGCCCTTGGATGACACTAAGGACTCATCTTTGATGGTCAGTGGGACTTGGATAGTGCCAGACATATTCTAACAGTAAAATTGTTAAACTATTCTTTGATGGTAAATTTTCATGGGATGCAAGTGAAAAGAAATTCATTTGTTGGCACAATATGTCTAGTATTCGGTAAATATAAGAGAAATTGAACTTAGAATCAATGGAGTTGGGTAACTCTTGCTGACTACCACTTATTCATTGAAGAGAGAAAATGACAGGGTGTGGGTGATAAATCAACATTTCAAGAGCAACTGAAAACAGAGAGTCTTTTGGGTAGTATTTAAGGAAACCTTAATTTCTTGCAGCTGGAGGGCATACAAAATGGAGAACTTGTCTCAAAATTTAATAATAAAAGAGCAGAGCTTCAGGGTAGGTTGAGCTCTCAGCTCTGGCATTTTTCTTACACCAAATTCAAGAGTCTAACAGGGAGGCAGTGGAACCACGGAGCTTGAAAAGGAGACATTTGGGTAGATGCAGCTGAGAGGCTTGTTCTCCTAGATTCCACTGAACTAACGAGGCTTGCAGAAGTGATACATACAGCCTGGTAAATGATGGTGCTTCTTTTCTTGCACAGCTGGGACTAGGGGGGAAGTAAGTAAGGTGTTTAGTAAACAACATTAAGGAGGCACTCTCTCTCAAGGTTGTGCAAGTACAGGGGTTGTTAGGGTGCCAAGCTTCACTAGGCACCTTGCTGTTCTCACCCTAGTCCTGACATTGATGTCTTGCTTGAAGATCACGGAACATACTCAAATTTGGCAGGTACCTTTCAAGGTTAAGCTCACACCGCTCAGGATCTACCTTATCTCCCTTGCAGGCAACCAGATCAATAACAGGGATCAAATCTCAGGAATGTATAGATGAGGAGATGGGAGACATTCTAAGAGAAAAGAAATATACATTGAAGAAGCTTCAGAATATGTCCACTATGTGCTAGCAAAAGCTGGGAGAGCATAAATGGGAAGAAACTTGGAGGTGTTGATGGAGAGAAGCAGAATATTAATATAAATAAGGGAGAATGCATAGAAAGAGGCATACTTCTGTGATGCAAGATTTAATACCCTGACAAGGACCCCTGATGATGTTACTAATATGCTGCTGGAATGGCCCTTCAAAGTGTGGCAAAAGCAATGGCTCATGCTATGTAAAATAGAAAAGCCAGATGGTAAGGACATGCTTAAAAATGGGCATTCCAGGGTGCATATCCCATGGAAGTCTAGAGCACTCATGAGCTGAACTGATTGTTTTATGAGAGGATCCAGAAGACCATTCATTTATCCATAATTTATACAATGAAAATCAGAAGTCCTGAGCCCATGTACAGCTTTAAATAAGTTCTCAGACTCAGAAGCCACTTACTGAAGGAAAGGCTGAAACTCTATGAGAAAGGACTTTGCAGCATCATAGTAAATGCACTAACTATTAATTCTTCCATGTTCCCAAGGGATCTGTTGTCTTTTAGTCATATAATTATGCATGGTAGAAAGGGAATATACAAACCTTTCAATGATTGCTGAACTCTGGTTCCAAATTAATATGCACTATGAGCTATTTTACTCTCCTGGCTTATATTGTAATGTAGTTTAAAATGACCTGGGCCTTCTGGGTATTCTGCAGAAAACACATTATTTCACTCAATTACTGCCATCATGCAAGTTACAACAGTTGAGCAATACGTGATGAGTATATAAAAAGCCTTGGAAAACATATCTGTGGAGGTGAGAGATAAGCCCTACCGAGGTTCAGGGCCTGCCACACAAGTTAAGTACTTTTGGATTCATCCGGATGAGGTCTGCTGGGACACCCTCTCCTAATAAAAGACACCTTATTGCATTGCACTCCTCCTGCCACCATGAAGCCTTATGCTTGGTAATCACACCCTAGTTCAGGAGGTGGCATATAGTGCACAACTCCAACCCATTTACTTGGTGACATGGAGTTCTGCCAGTTTGATATTGGACCCAGATAGGGAAATAATTCTGCAGCAAGTCCCAGCTGTGGAACAATAAGAACTGCTGCTTGGGTTATAAAATCAGGTAGACACTCTGGTTCTGGACCTGCCCATGGTGAAAAAAGATGCTGTGTTGATTTTATAGCCAGTACCAATAGGAGAATTACAACATAGAACTTAGAGTTATTAGACAAGGCCATTTCATCAGTAAGTCTACACCTTTTGAAAACCAGTTGTTGGTATGCTTCTGGGTCCTAGTAGAGATGGGGTATTTGACTATGGTTTATCAAGTGACTATGTGACCAAAGATGGATTCTGTAAGACCCACTAAGATCTCAAGATAGGTAGCCTTAGTAGCAAATCATCACAAGTGGAAGAGGCATATCAAGAATCAGACATGAGCACACCCAGAAGGCATAAGTAAGTTACCAAACAGTGACCCAGACCTCCATCTGGTAATCAGCCCTGTATTGGACTCTCACTTAGCTCTATCTTATGGTTGCATGGGGTTTACCTCATGAGTGATAGATGAATAGAGGAAAAGGCTGAGTTTGGTTTGTTAATGGTGGGCTCAGTACGTTAGTGTGATCTGAAAGTAGACAGCTAATACTATAACACTACTAAGGGGTGAGCCTGTAAGACAAAGCTCTGGGAAGTATACCTTTTCTTTAATTTTATGGGGAAAGAAAAATGGCCAAAATATAAATACCCATTGGCTTATGGACAGTATAAAATGTCTTACCTGGTTGATCAAAAGACTGAAAGAGGAAAAAGTAGAGGATCAGGGACAAGGAGTTCTGAGCAGGAGGGATGAGACAAGCCCAATGGAGTGAGCATAAAAGTGTGAAAATCTTGGTACTGTTTGTTAGTCTCAAATGTCTTATCTGGCTGATCAGAAGACTGAAAGAAGAAAAATTAGAAGACTGAAAACAAGAAATTCTGAGCAAGAGGCATGAAATGAAGCTATTGGAATGAGCATAAAATGTGAAAATCTTTGTATGGTTTGTTAGCATCCACTGAAAGCAACCACCAAAAAAAAAAAAAAAAGAGGTCTTAAGCAACCAAGTAGACAGAATAATGGGCAACTGACATCAACTAGCCTCTGCCATTACCTATCCCATTTTTGATACAATGAATATACCAAAGACCAATACACCAATGTCAGTGATAGAAACTGAACATAGACCCATCCATTAAACATAGACCTATTAGCATGAGCTCCCACTCATGAGCTCCTCATGCTCCCATCAGCATGAGGATAATTAGCTATTGCCACTGCTCTTTGACCAATCTGCTATCCAAAGAGACTAACACCAAGTCTCTGATTTTAGCACTATTTATTGAGATGACTAACAAGACAGTTAGAAAATTGGTTAATTTGAGCTTTTCTTAAGGGATAGTGATTTTTGGTTTCTAGACATGAGATTCTACATATAATTTCTCAGGAATAAGAAACCCATTTTACTGCAAAGGAGATGAGGCAGGGGGAACATGATTGTGGAATCCATTGTTCTTATCATATTTAACACCATCTGGAATATGTTAGCTGGATAGGGCAATAACACCACATGTAATTTATTTGAGATGATGCTGTGAGACGGAAAGGTGACATCATGCTCTGGGACATTCTATGTGTGGTAAATTTGTGTCCTTTATATGGTACTGAGTCTTCACTATGCAGAAGGCGTGGCATGGATCCCAGGAATAAGAGTGGATGTAGGAGTATCTCTGCTCGCCATCTCTCCTGCTTGGAGTTTTTGTTCTTGCAGTCCCCAGAATTTTAGGTTCTGTGGTTTAGAGATTCTGGTTCCCAAAGGAGGAATGCTTCTGTCAAGGAGACTGAGAGTAGCATTGAACTATAAGCTATGGTTGTCACCAAGTCACTTCGGGCTCCTTGTCGCAAAAGACTAACAAGCCAAAAAAAAAAAAAAGGTACTCCATAGTAGCAGAGTTAAAAGACCCTGCTTATATAGAGGAAGGGAAGCCGATGTTATATAATAGGGGCCAAAAACATAAGTTTTTATGCTCTGGTTCCATATTAGGATGTTCCTGCTTCTCCAATATCTAGTTTTAATGGTAATTGGACAAGTACAGCAGCTGCTTCCTTAGAAAGGGTTATAAATCAAGAGCTTAGAAACCTCATTAATGAGAGATTTTAACATCTCATGACTGTCGTGGATTATTACATAAGTTTATTATGCCAATTTATATTTATTACATTGATGGACTAAAGCAGAAGGTGGGAAACTCTTTCAATGAAAGAGCAGATAGTAAATATTGTCAACTTTATGGGTCATATTTCTCAACTCTGTCGTGGAGTGCAAAAGCAGCAGTGCACAAAGTGCAGATAAATGGGCATAGAAGGACTTTTCCCAAGGGCTCTAACATTTGGGCTCTATATATAGATTTACTGTAATACTTCAGAGTTAATCACACAGACAATACCATGGAATTCTCAAGAATAAATCCAATGAATCCCTTTTTAAATTTATATTGTCTTTCAAACTGTTGTTGCCAAAATGAGTTCTTTATATATAAATTCAAATTGGTAACTGCATTCGTTTAACAAGCATTTATTAAATACTAAGTATTTGTTATATTCTGTGATAGTGCAAATTCCATAAGTGATTCTCAAGGATGATTCTAGATAACCCTCATGGAGCTTACACTACAGTGAGGGAGACAGCCATACATTTGTTAATTACATGAATTAAATGTTCAGTTACAGACTGTGATACAATCTCTGAAGAAAACTGTTAGTTTTCTATGGGACCATCTAACAATTGATAAACCTGATTTAGACTTTATATTTGGAAAGACTTCCTTTAATAAAATTCATCTAGAATAGAATAATGAAGCAATGAGGCCAAAGGGAGGGGCATACTACATACAGAAGGAGGAGGATAGGTAAAGGCTCTATAAATAAAGGGAGAATGATAGTTTTGAGACAATAATGGATGGCTTGTCTGGATCAAGTAAAAAGAACTGGAGATGGAATGGGTAGCATTGCATCATAAGATGAAACTCAAAATTTAAGTAAATAGGACAAACTCTAAGGTATTAAGGAAGTAAAATTAATAAAACATGTTGTCTTAAATCAAAATTCAAATAGGAATTTTGATTAGAATAAGGGCTCTGAAGAGAAGCCTGGGCTGGGTATATAAATTTGGAAGTCTTTGTTGCACAGTGAGCACTTGAAGCCATAGGGTGAATGAATGAGAATTGAATGGGACCTTCATTCCAGCCTTGTGGAAATCTAATATTTAGTGTCTTTAATTAAATATTAAATATTAGCAGGGGATAAAAATTAGCTTGAAAAAGAGACTCAGAAGCTGAAACCAGAGATGTAGGTGGATAACTTGGAGGTTGGGGTCATGAAGCTAAGGGAAGGAAGAGTTTTATAAAGAAGGAAGTAATTAAGAATGTCACGTGTTTTTGAGAGTTCAAGTAAGATGGGAATAAAAAGTGTCCATTGTGTGTAGTGATTTTAGTAGTGACTACATCAATTCTTTTAGTGGCAAAATGGAAGAGATGATGAGTTGAATTGTATGAATTGACGTCAATGTGACATGAAATGGAGAGAATGAGAATAGTCCACTCTTAAGATATTCAGCTGTAAAAGAGAGGAAACAAATGAACCTGCACGTGGAAGGGCTATGTCAAATAGAAAGAGCACCATTTATTTGTTTTGTTTCTTTGCCAAGTTTGTTTTGTTTTTTCAATGAACTGGTTTTAAGATTGCAAAACTTGGCTGGGCACGGTGGCTCATGCCTGTAATCCCACCACTTTGGGAGGCCGGGGCAGGTCGATCACCTGAGGTCAGGAGTTCAAGACCAGCCTGGCCAACATGGTAAAAAACAGTCTCTACTAAAAATACAAATATTAGCTGGGCGTGGTGGTGGGCGCCTGTAATCCCAGCTATGTGGGATTACATAGGGAGGCTGAGGCAGGAGAATCCCTTGAACACAGGAGGCGGAGGTTGCAGTGAGCTGAGATGGTGTCATTGCACTCCAGCCTGGGAGACAAAAGTGAAACTCCATCTCAAAAAAAAAAAAAAAAAGATTGCAAAACTCCAGTTTATGGGGACTTCCGGTTTCAGCTTGGGAAGTAGAAAGTTGAAAAGACCATTACTTCCACCTCCCACCTTCACGAAACAACAATGGGAACAATTTAGACAGCCAGTAGAACTACAAGTTTGTTTTTAATTTTTAAAACATTGATTAATTTTTAATTGACAATTAAAGTGTATATATCGATGGAGTACAATTTAATGTTTTGACCTATGTATTCATTGTGGAATGATGAAATTGAGTTAATCACAACTTTTCTTGAATACATGAGAGAACTGAGGTTGCAAAATCCAAGAAAAGGCAGTCGCCTTCAAGGTTGATGAATTTGAGCATTTGCTTACATGGGGCAGATACTCCCAGACACTCGTAAGAATTTAAAAAGCTTAATGAATCACAGAGTTGAGTATGAGCTAGAATCCCATGTGGCCCTAGTATTATATCCTACTTATAGGATTTTCTTCATGGACCTCATCCAGTGCTCACAAATAAGTTTACGGGCAGGGTGAGAGTCTTGCAAAAGAATCACTACCCTTGAAGAAAAGAACTGTAGGGAAGTCCAGTAAATGTGTGAAAGGCATGAAGCCCTGCTTCAATCCTTCTCCTCACTTTCCTGCAAAATAGAGACTTAAAACAATTTGGGAAGGAAAACAGAACCCGGTGCTTTTAAAGCACAGGTGAAACTTAACTGCATTTCGGAAAATAGAACAGAAAAGCAAAACAATCTTACCACTGGGGAGCAGCAGTCAAAGAGGCTGGGACCAGAGCTACATCCAGTTATAAGATAGAGTAACCTACTCATGTAATCCAGGGCTCAGTGCCTATGATTAAACAGAACAACAGTGAACACGTTTTTCCTTCTCCCCTAACCTAGCCAAGATGTTGACAAACATCAAGCAATAAATAGTACCAAAATACATGTAATTGGAAATCAAGAAAGAGAAAGGAATGAGGAAAAAGTACTTGAAGAAATAGCAGCTTTTCCAAAATTGTATACCAAAAAAATCCTTAGAATACATATGTAAATACTGAAGCAGAAAAGTGACTTTAGCAAGATGGCCAGTTACAAGATTAATATTCAAAGCCAATTATATTTCTATATGCTAACAATAAATAATTAGCCACTGAAATAAAATGAAAACAGGACAATGATCAATAGCACTAATGAAATAGATACACATCTTACAAAATATGTATAAGATTTGTATATATGCTAACTAAAAAATACTGATGAGATAAATCAAAGAAGGTGTAATAAATGGAGAGGTACCTTTTTACATATTGAAAGGCTCAATATTGTTAAAATATCAACTTTTCCAAAATGGAAATGATCTGCAGATCCAACATAACTGCAATTGAAGCCACAAAGAATTTCTTGTATAATACGATAGAATGATTCTAAAATGTATATGGAAAAATAAAACAAAAAGGGAAAAACAATTTATAACTGATGTTGAATACAAGGAAGACACACTTGATATTTACAAGTGAACATTTTTTGAGAATACAGAAGGAGCAATTGCATAGTGCTCCATAATTTAATAAACATTCACATATTTTACCTTTTTAAGGACAGTTTGTAAAATATGTTTTATATATGATGTCTTAGTCCATTTGGGTTGCTATAACAAAATATCTTAGACTGAGTAATTTACAAACAACAGAAATTCATTGCTCATTATTCTGGACCTGGGAAGTTCAATATCAAGGAGTCAGCAGATTTGATGTCTTGTGAGGACTCATTCTCTGCCTCAAAGACAGAAACTTCTGTGTGTCGTCACATAATGGAAGGGGCAAACAGTCTCCCTCAAGCCTCCTTTATAAGGGCAATAGTCTCATTCATGAGGGTGGAACCTCTAACCTCATGTATTAGGTTCGAACATACAAATTTTAGGGGAACACCAACATTCAGATCATAGCAGATGAATATAGTGAAGCCAAGAGAACTATATTGGTAGGAGGCAAACAAGTGAGTAGTACTGACAGCTAACAAGAAATTCTGATATCAGAATGTTTCACTATACCCCTTCAAAGCTCTCCACTCTATCAAAGTGACCCTCTGAGTTTGCAGTATCATTTATAAAACTGTGTTTGTAACTGTGCAATGAGACTAAGGGTATGGATTAAAAATATATCAGATGTTTGTAAAATTTTATAAAATAATTTTTTCAAACAGTTGATTTGGTTATATCATTTAAAAATATATTGTTACTTTTTTCTCTGATTGTATTGATTTATCATCTTTTCCAGTTGATGCTTGTTTACATGATAAAACATTTTAAACAGTATATTGACTAAAAGTGTTTAAAATCTCAGAGCTGGAGGCAGACTATCAGAACTGATTTCCAGGAAGAGATAAGAATGTATCATTATAGTTTTTAGTGACAATTTAGGAGGGAAGAGTTCACTGAGATGAGAGAAGAGTCTCCCAAATCTTCCAGGGATTGAAATAAAGTAGTTTGTTTTCAGGTTTTTCAATCTATAATGTGGAAATTCAGACTCTAGCTCAAGAAAAAAAAATAGTACTGTAGTTTATATATACAAAAAAACAGGAACACTACGTTTCAAAATAAACTGATGTTTTAAAAATTACTTGGGGTGAAAAAAGACTATGAGGAAACAAAACATTTTATAAATTTCAAAAGTTGACAACCACACCAGTACTTTGACATGATGGATGACAGAGAGGAAGTCCTTTTTAACTTCTGTTGTTCTTCCTCTTCTATTTGAAGGAAAGGTATTTTCATATTATAAAAGGGAGCATGAATACTGTTTGCTCTGAATCAAGGCCTGCAAGCCTTGATGAGATTATGAGAAACGAGTTTGTTCTGAGAACCAAGATTAACTATTTCCTTAGTGAGAGGAACTGAAAATATGAATACTAACCATTATAACTGCTCTTCAAAGATTTTTGTACATTAGGGGACACTTGCAAATGGAAAAATATATATGAGATTTCTGTCTGAGATTATTTCTACTTTAGAAATAGACTAGAGAGGGCAAAAATTATTTCTCTAAGCACTCTCCTGAGAAAATAAGCAAAATCTTAAACTTGTCTACAATTATTACCTGAAAAATGTGCTGTGTTCAAGGTTACCAGAGTCAATTTTACCAAAACAGAGAGGAAGGTTCAATTCTGTTGCAGCACCTTCAGGCGGTGGGTCACTGAAACATAAATGCCTACTTCTGATAACACAATTCGAAAGGCTGAGTCCTTGCCACAGATTAGGGTGTTTGAATGTACATGTTTGTTATTCAGATGATGATTTAAGGCAGCATGACCATGACTTTCTTTGAAAGAGTAAACAAGGCAAGGTCTGAGAGAAGTCATTATGTGTCATCTAATATCAAGTACACACAATGTGGCTAACCATCTTGCTTCAGAATCTCAGGAAAAAAATGATTGGAGGGTGGCTTTTGGGTCCACTGCTTGCTTTTTCTTTTATCCCAATAAAGAACTTTGCTTAAGAGGTTAAGACTTCAAATCTGATATCCTATGTGTCTTATTACGAGTAGAGAGTTTGGAAAAACGAGACTTCTTTTTGCTACTGGAATTGGGTTCACAGCTGATTTCCTTGGCTTGTCTGCTAGTCCACAATCTCCCTCAAAAGGGCTTGCATTGCCTACTAAGCTTTTATATTATCTGGATTCAAGTCTGAATTACCTCTCTTATTCCTCTGAATCAGAGTATTCCCTAATTCTAATTTTCAAAATGAACGAGAAGGCATATTGCAGTAATATGAGATAAACCAGTTTTTTACGTGTTGGAATAAATGTACTGCAGGAAATATTTACTTCAATGAACAGTAGGCAAGCACCTACCTTGTACAAGACTCTCTTATAAGTATATGGGGATACAGCATTGAACAAAACACAAAAAGCCTCATACAGCTTGAATTATAAGCATTCGTGAAGAAATGTTTTATGGGAGTAAAATGAGAAGATGTTATTAGTTGCTAGGAACCCAACTTTTATTTCATTAGGCCAAAGACCTAATGCGATGTCATAGGTTAGGTACAAGCAAGTGATTTGACAAGGTTTCTTACACTTATATATAATCCGGATAAATAAAGAATAAAATGCTGTGTCATTGCAATAATACTCAATACCTGTAATTCAAGAGAATAATTTCTGGATAGCAACTGTAGAGAGATCTGTCGTGCCATTTTGAAGACCTTGTTCAGTCAACATGGTACACTACTTACAATTTATGGTACTATATGATGGAAAAGATCATAAAAGTACAGTGGAATAAAAACATAAAGGTAGATTAAAATGAATATACAGAAATTACATAGAGAAAAAAAAGATCCAAAATATGCTCTGTGAATATAAGAACCTTTTTAGAAGGGCTTCAATGTCCCCATGTCACTGTCCTGATAGCTCCCTTTCAGCTGTCCTATATTGTTACAACTCTCATTTTCTTACTGTTTACTGAATGTGAGCAAAGCACAAACAAATTGAGAAACTATCTTTGGATCCTGGAACATCTAGGTTGAAATTCTGGCCCTTATTACTTATCTGAAGCATAGTGGATGCCATAAATGGTAGGGTTTATTATAATTTTACAGCTGTTATTATTATTAACTGTAGTGCTTTTTTCTTCCCTTCACCTTTAATTTAGGATCTGAAATAACCTACTTTTATATCTCTTGTACCTTTCAGTGCCAGAAAAATTCTACGCTTTCAATAAAAGTTTGCTGACTGAATAAATGTAAGAGAGTGAGTTGCTCCTATTTATAGATGGTATAAAGCTTAGACAAGAGTAGAGATTGGATTAAAAAAAAGGTAATAAAATGTTACCTATTAGGAAGGATCTAATGGGGTAAACTGTTACAAGAATAAGTTGAAGAAAAACCATGAGCATTCAAAAATAAATAGAATCAATATAGGAGAGAGTGCTTGAGAACAACTTGCACAAATGAAATACATTGCTACTAAGGTTATGCTGAGTCATTTTAGTCACACTCAGTTGTGTTAAGAGATATAGTGGGAAGTGGGGAAATGGGTTAAGTTCTTAAAAATATAAAATATGAAACTATTCTTGGGCTAAATTCAGGGTTTTGAGAAATATTGTTTGCCAATGACTACATCAAAGTCAGGCATGAATTATTAGACACAGATGTGAATCAAGAAAAGAACCAGCTGCTCTTGGGTCTGCCTGGCCCAGTCAAGCCTGTGGCAGTGTGACATTTTTCTTTTGTTGGAATTGTATGAAAGGAACCCTGGAAGGCAAATAATCCTAATATTTGTAGATGATTTCTACTAATAGAATTTCTGTCCCTGATTAACAAAATAGGCTATACATGGAGGCAGCATTTGTGAAGTTTTTGAGACTAAAGGTTACATCCAAATGTTTTTCTGTGTATTTGATTGCATCACTTATGGAAGTTTTTGCTTAAAAAAAAAAAATGAGTATTTTTCACAGACCTGATCTAAAATTCTGACTGTAAAACATTCTATGTGTGCTTCTGTGCAACTTAAACTCCATGGGCATCAATCCTCTTATACATAAAATAGGGGTAATAAAAACTAGGATTATTGCAAAGATTAACTGAGATAGCGGATTGTTATGAAGATAAAGTCAGGTAATGGAGCCAAAACACTTAGCTCTGTATCTGGCACAAAGGAAGTTCAAAGTGTTATCTTTGTGCTAGTAGGGTTCTCCTCCCATATACTAGGGAAGCGATTTACTCATAAATGCAAATTATTTGACAGGTGTCTTACACTAGGAGTATACTTATGAAAGAAAATAGACACATTTCAAAAGAAGACAAACACACAGACAACAAGCATATGAAAAATGCTCGGCTGGGCACGGTGGCTCATGCCTGTAATCCCAGCACTTTGGGAGGCCGAGGCAGACAGATCACGAGGTCAGGAGTTTGAGACCAGCCTGACCAACATGGCGAAACCCCGTCTCTACTAAAAATACAAAAATTAGCCAGGCATGGTGGCACACACTTATAATCCTAGCTATTCGGGAGGCTGAGGCAGGAGAATCACTTGAACCTGGGAAGCGGAGGTTGCAGTGAGCCGAGATCGGGCCACTGGACCCCAGCCTGCCTGACAGAGCAAGACTCCGTCTCGCAAAATGTAATAGCAACTTTGGAAGGCAGTAGGCAGTTTCTTACCAAACTAAATATAATCTTACCATATGATCCAGCAATCACTCACACACCTTGATATTTACCCAAATTAGTTAAAAACTTACGTTCACACCAAAACTGCACGCAAATGTTTATAACAGCTTTATTCACAATTACCAAAACTTGGAAGTAACCAAGATATTCTTCAAAAGATGAAGAGGTAAACAAACTATGGTACATTCTTACAATGGAATATTTTTCAGCTATAACAATAAATGAGCTATCAAAACACAAAAAGACATGAGGAACTTTAAATGCATATTGATATGCGAACAAAGCATACCAGAAAAGACTACATGCGTATAATTTCAACCATATGCTATTCTGGAATAGCCAACACTATAGAGACAATAAAAAAAAGATCACTGGTTGTCAGGAGGTAGGTAGGACAAAGGGAAAGATGAATAGATGGAACACAGTATAGTATAACTATTCTCTATTATGCTGTCATGGTAGACATATGCAATTACACATTTGTCAAAACCCATAGAATGTATAACACAAAGAGTGAACCCTAATATGAACTACAGACATGAGTTAATGATAAGGACTGAATATTGGCTTATAACTTATAACAAATATGTCACACTAATGCAAAATATTAGTAATAGAGGAAACTGTGTTGTGGGGGTGTACAGGAACATTCTGTATTCTGTAGTCAGCTTTACTGTAAATCTAAAACTGCTTTAAAGGAAAATTTCTATTAATTTACAAAAGTGAGTAACACAGACCAGCTCCTACCATCATATTGACTATATTACAGTGAAGGGAGGTATACAATGAATAAAAAGATGAATACAGGTAGTGATAAGTGCTGTGAGAATTAAATAAAGTATCTATCTTGATAGATAATGGTTTGATTTTGGGCTGGATGCTCCTCAATATCATGGTTAAAGAAGGCTTCTCTGATGTACTAAAGTTGAACCAAGATTGACTGTTTCTCAGAAAAGAAGCTTGCATCCACACATTTTCCTCAAAACTAAATATCCAACATGAGTTTGAGCAAATCTGACTTAAAGAGAACATTTTCTAACTGGTTGTACAGTTCTTTTTGTAAACTACTCACTTCCAGTTCCTGAAAGATGAAGAGCAAGTTTTTAAAAATATTAATTGAATCATATCACTTTCCTGCTTTAAAAATTTTTAACAGCTTTATTTAGATGTATTCGAAATAAAAAAAACCCCTGCATATACTTAATGTATAAAAGTTGATGGGTTTGAACATATATATCCACCTGTGAAGCCATCACTCATGATCAAGACAATAAGCATATCCATCACCTCTAAATGTTTCCTTGTCTCCCTTACCTATTTTTTAAACCTTTAACGACTTCTCGTTTCATTTAGAATGCAATACATATTCTAACAGGTCTTCAAGGTTCTTTGCAATCTGGCCCTTTCTTCCTTCCCAACTTAATCTCAGGCTCAAATTCCTTCTGCTCCACTAAAATGCCATCCTCACTAAGTTCACACCTGGACCCTTTTTCCTTCAGATACATTAAACTCTTCAAGACTTCAGGGCCTTGCCCTTGCCATTCTATCTGTCAAAAGCATCTCTCCAGCATTCTTTTAAATCACTGAGTTATTTAGCATTAGGAAAAGATTTTTGTAAAATAGCAGTGATAAAGTTAATTCTCTTCCATCTGTTGTCAAATATCCCCATGGCTCTCTCCTTCTCTTAGTTCAGATCTTTAATCAAAAGTCCCTTTCACTGAGGCTTTCCTTGACCACTCTCTGATGTGCTTCTTCCTTGCTTTTCTGCCCTTTAGGACTTGGTGATCATTTTACTTGCTATATTGGTAATTGCTTGTACTCCTAAGCAAAATAGAATTTTCTTACTATATTTTAAGGATATAGTATAGTTTTACTGTGTTATAAGGATATAATATAGTCTTACTATATGATAAGTATAGTAAGTCTTACTATAAGTTCTTACTATATTTAAGTAAGTATATTATTACTATATTACAGTCCTTACTATATTACAGGGATATAATATAGTCCTTACTATATTACAGGGATATAATATGGTCCTTACTATATTACAGGGATATAATATGGTCCTTACTATATTACAGGGATATAATATAGTCCTTACTATATTACAGGGATATAATATAGTCCTTACTATATTACAGGGATATAATATAGTCCTTACTATATTACAGGGATATAATATAGTCCTTACTATATTACAGGGATATAATATAGTCCTTACTATATTACAGGGATATAATATAGTCCTTACTATATTACAGGGATATAATATAGTCCTTACTATATTACAGGGATATAATATAGTCCTTACTATATTACAGGGATATAATGTCATCCTTACTATATTATAAATATATAATATACTCTTATAGTAAGTCTTATTATAAGTTTGTACTACAAGTAAATATATTATTACTATATTACAGTTCTTAGTATACTGTAAGCATAAAACACAAATCTTGTTCCTTTTGCTCACTGCTCTATCCAGACACTGACTAGACAATGCTTGGCCCATAATGACATTTGATAAATACCTGATGATTGCATAGTTACAAGTTTGCACCATCTTTTCCTAGATTTATAAATGTTTTCTGAATAGAGAGGTTTTCTATTCGCTGAAATCCGTGTGGGACTCAATCGGAAGTTTGCTGGGCATTGATCACTCTGTTCACTATTGAACATGAGTAAAATCTTAGCATTTAATATAATAAATGACATAAAGCGGCTGAACATATATCTTTATTCCAAAACTAGACTTCTAGAAATAGATTGTGTTCCTTAAAACTAAATAAAAGTTTCTATTTAGTTCTGGATACGATGATAGTTAAAAATAATACATTGACTTAGAATAAAGTCACTCAGGAAAGTTTTGTGAATATAGAACATTTTCTGCATTGATGATTATGAGGAAGCTATGGTAATTGTTATTAAAACAAAATATTCGTTGCTGCAGTGGTCAGCACCTTACTGGGTCATCTTTTGGAGTTCTTTGGCTCAACTTACGTGAAACCTACTCTAGTAAATTTAAAGGAAAAGGTAAATACATTGGAAGGCTGGAGAGGAGCTGGTAGAATTTTTAAAAATCCTGAAAGCCAGACCTCAGAAAGGATGGGTACAGAAGAAGCAGCGGGGATTTTCACAGCAGGAACTGGGCTCCAAGCAACATCTAACTGTGTCACTTTGATGGAGAAACAGACTGGATCAAGGCTCACCTCTACACCCTGGGGGCAGTGCGTCTCATCAGGCCTGCCGGATAATGTCCTGGAATTAGGAAGCAGCTAGTACAATGAAGGAAAACGGAGGAATATACTAACACAGGACGTGGGCAGTGTGGCAAGCCAGCCAAAACAAAAGAGTCCACTCTACCCTTTAATTAAACAGGTTGAGGTAGGTACCTAATGGCAAAGAATCACTGAAGAGAGGGATAAAATATCAACTCATGTAATTGTTATTCTACCTAAAAAGCAGATTTTTTTAAAAATTGTTTTTGTTTTCATTTGATTTGATTTATATTTAGATGTCTGATAATTTTCAGAGATCATGTGCACAGAAAAATGTCTGTGCATATCATCACAGCCTGAGATACGTCTTGCAGCCAACTCAGACAAACGATTTGCGAATACAACCTTGCAACATTCCTGAGCTTTTCTTTGTTAGGCTATTATTACAAAATTTCCAAGAGAAAAAATGGTCTCTACTTGTTTTTCCTGAGATGTAGGTGTATAAAAGAAGTAAAATACAAGACCTGTTTTTGTGAATAGGTAGGTGAGAAAACCATTAAAATTCAAATGAAAATAAGTCTTCGTTATGATCATGTCAGATTTGGAAAACTTTGGCAATTTGAGCGACATTTCCAACGTTAATTTTCACATTTTGAATAAAAGCAGTAATTACCCTACCTGCATGTGTCATGTACAAGGTATTGCCCTCATGTTTCTGTATTTTTTTTTTTTGGTGCATGTATGGCCACAGGAAGAGAGAGTTTTTCTCATAGCAATAAAAAATCAAGTGAAACCGTTTCTGTATTTATGGTGTTTCCTCCCACTGTCTACAGTTTATTTATGTGAATGTCTATGAAATGGTTTCCTTGGTAACTAAAAGGAGCCTGGGTCTGATCAACTGTATCACAGGCTCACAGTTTTAGGCATCCGTTGCTTACAAAAACTAACTACTCAATAACAAAATGTAAAAAATCAATACCAATTATTTATTGAATTGATATCTTTCTAGGGTTTTTCCATTTGGCTATTTTAGGATCCTACTCTATGCTAGATTTCCATGTAAACAGTTACAATTCAGGAGAAATTTACATTTATTATAGATACTGTTTTAGGAAGTTATACTAGTGAGGCCCTACCCCTTTCCAAATCCATTTGCTATTAATTGCCAAATGCTTTGGCTCTCATCTGAGTAACAACTAGCACTCAAATATTTAATGACTCAAAATCACAGAAAAAATAAGACTTGATGTGCCTCCATATATCACACCACCACAGCAGGGGTTAAAATAAATGCCAGAGGTGATGAAAAAATGACTGTTTTTCATAGAATCATGCGTGTTGTAAACAGCAGCTGGTTATCATTGTTTATTATGAAACAGTAGCAAAATGTCTTTATTCTGATTTCTAGCTTCTCTATGTTGCCTTCTTTCATATTGAAATTTTAGATACCTCTTGCTGAGTTCATTTGTATTCAGCTGTCGTTTCTCTCCTTCACTCAGCCATTCTCTTGACTATCCAAGACTTTTGTCACACTATGTCATCTGAAGTATTTGGTATTAATGAAATTTTATATGCAATGCTATCACTTCAGAAATAAACCTCATGCCACACTTTTGAGATTATAAAAATGTAGACTCATACTGAAGCTAACTCAGGATGAACAGAGGTTAGTGGGTGGAACCTGGTAATTTCATAATTAGATTTAACCTTTCTGGTGCCTTAGCAATCATTTTAATAATGACATTACTTTTCCTGTCCAATCACGTAACATTTCTGTGCTATTCGGGAAACTGCTTTGTTATGTAGTGAGCAATAAGACTGTCAAGTTTCATATCCTCCTGTTTTTCCTGAACAGATTCTCTAAAATATTAGAATAAATTTGACTCTGTTTCTCTTGCCAGAAACACAGGAATGAGAGCTTCTCTGGTGTTTCTATTACATCATCAATTTCTCCCTCCACTCTCATCCCTTTTCATGCCACAGAATCATTATTGGCATGCCTGTCAAAATTACTAAATCACTCTTTCCTATTCTCTTCCTTTACCACAAAATCCAATGTTTAAATCATAAACACTGCTTCCCTTCTGTAGCATGCATTGCTCACATTATCTGCACTACTTTAGAGATTAATCATCAGAAATTAAAAGATGGAATAAAGCCTCACTCAAATTAACACTCTTCCTCACTCTGGGTCTCTCATTTTATTTCTAATCTGATATGTCGAAATTATGCTTTATACTGACAAGAATGTTCTCTCACCTTGCAAATACTTCCCCAGACTTGAAATCTTGTTCAAGAAGGTAGCTTTTGATTTACTTCCCAAATAATGTCTTTTGGTTTAGTGTATATAAAAGAAGATTCCTTTTCCTTGATTCTGAAGATCCAAATGTTGAGGCAGATTTTTGTCTACTTTGAGTTAGCTGAGGCTTATTGGTTACATATTTTTTCCCACTCTTTTCACTGATATTCCAAATAACTATTTAAAATATGTGTATATTTTGAGATATACTCTGAGATGTCTGAAAATTCTATGCCTTTAGTTAGATGATGCTCTAGATTTTCATTATGTGAATTCACCTAGAATTGTGTTATATCTTGATTCTGCCAGTGCTCATGTTGGTAATGGGGTTTTCAATTATTATATTACAAAAAGATGTCCAGGTCAAGGTTTTCTTAGAGTTTCCATCAGGGAGCATAGTTGAGGCATTGAATTTTAAGGTACAGAGTTGATGAATATGCCAAAAATAAGATGAATCTTAACTGAGCAATTTGTTTTCTATTGAGGTCAAGAAACTGATCATTGCAACAAGATCACTGCATAAATTTTTAGCAACATATGCCAATTCTTTTGCCTTTTCCCCTCTAAGGAGATGGCATCTAAACTGAGACCTGAGGGAAGAGTGAGAATTAGATTTTAGCAGAGATCCTGACTTGAGAAGGAATTGATTGTTGATATGGAGCTGATATAAGGTCAATGCACCAGGAGTGAAATGAGCCAGGCTAATAATTGTACCAGATAGACTGGTATATAAACTGGCCCTGTTTAAGCAGGGCCTGGTAGAACATAAGGAAGCTTGCATTTTATCCTATGAGGACTAATAAGTTAAAAAAAGGCTTTTTAATATTAGAGCAACAAGATCTGATATACACTGAAAACACCATTCTGATACTGGGAAGAAAATAGATTAGAAGAGGTGTGAGAGTGAAACAATGAATACTAATAACGTTATTGCCGGGCTGGGAAGAGATGAAATTTTGAGCTGGGAAAGTGACAGTGAATCTAGGGAAATGCAGGGAGATTCAGGAAATATCAGGCTTGCTGATAGATGAGATGTTGGAGTAAGGGAAGGAGAAAAACAAGAAGGCTCTAAGGCTTCTGACTTGAGGATCTCTCTGGATAGTCACATAGTACAACTCAGGTGGGAAAAATGGGATATTCTCAGGATTTGGTGGGGAAATTAAAACTCTGTGTTGAACGTAATAAGATTAAAATATCTATAAGACAGTTCAGTAGAGATGGCAAAAGGGCTGTTGGGCATATTAATCTAAATATTGAAATGGCTAGGCTGGGTATATTACAATAAGGAGTCAAAAACATAAATGGAACACCAGAACTTATTTCTCTTATCTACCTGTAACTTTGTACCTATTGATCAACCTTTCCTGATCTTCTGTACCCTGTACTCTCCCAACCTCTAGTAACCAGCATTCTTCTGTCTACTTCTATGAGGTCAATGGTCAACATTTTTAGATTCTACATTTACCTGACATCATGCAGTACTTGTACTTCTGTGCCTTGCTTATTTAACTTAAGACAATGTCCTCTAGCTTCATCCATGTTGTTGAAAGTGACAAAATTTCAGTTTATTTATGGCTAAATGGTATTGCATTGTGTACACATACTACATTTTAAAAATTCATTCATCTGTTGCACAGTCAGGTGACTATAGCCAACAATTAAATATTGTAAACTTCAAAATGTCTACAAGGGATAATTTTTGAATGTTTTCACTACAAAGAAATTATAAGTGTTTAAGGTGATGGATATGCTAATTACCCTGATATAATTATACAATGTATATATGTATAAAAAAAATCACACTGTACCCCATAAATAAATATAATTATTATGTCAGTTAAGAATGAAATAAAACTTAAAAATATATAAATTATAGCTTTGCCATGTGAATAAATTGGGTCACAGAGAAGAGCATTTGAGAGAAATGATAAGACATAAGACTAAATGCTGAGGAATTCTAAAGTTTAGATGTTGAATCAAGAATGAGGAGCAAATAAAGAATACTAGGAAAGGGAAAATGAGGTAGAAGGGAAACTAGGAGACTGTGTCACCTTGAAAGCCAAGAAAGGAGAAAGTTTCAGGCTCAGAAGATCAACAGAGTCAAAGGCTACTGCAAAGTAAAGGGAAATGAAAACTAAAAAAAAGAATTCCAAATGACATGCAGCATGCCAGTCATAGAGTTGTCTGGAGTTCTTGCATATTTTTGATTTTCTTGTAAGAGTGTGAGTGAGAATCAGATTGAAATCTAAGACTAAATGGGAAGTAAAAAACTGGGGATTTTGTGTATAGACAACTCTTTCATTCAGACCAGTTTTGAAATGCAAAAGGTAGTGGAGGGAAGAGATGGGGTCATGGAGGAATTTTTAGAATAGAAGGACTTTATAGAATAGTAGAGCACATTTGTGCTTCAATAGGAATAATCCAGAAAAGAGCATTAACAATGTAGATCAGAAAAGAGATAACTGAAAGAGGGAAATCCTTGAGAAAGTTATACAAAGTGGGACCTAGAGTGCAAGAGGGCTGATTGACCAAACTTCAGAGAAGGGACACATACTATTGTAATTGGGGGGATTGGGACTAGATAAGGTTATTAACTGAATGTGCCTGTAGGGGGTGGTAGTGGTAGATGCATCATTTTAAAGGAGAATAGGAAAACAAGAATAGTTTAAAAAGCCAACAAACTATTTCCAAGAAATATTGAAGTCCTTGTGATGTTTTTCATCAAAGATTTCAAGTGAAACTGCTCAGTCAGTTGTATGATTTCCTTTAGAAATGTGTAGATGCTTTCATGTAGCAACGAAAAAGGAGGATATTTGGTCTCATCTAGGATTGTTTTTTACTTGGGTATAAAGGAGAAAAGGGAGATAAGGGATTTAAGTATTTTTCAAGGGCACAATTGTAATATTTGAGCATGAAATATAACCTGGGCAAGAAGAAACATGAAGATGGAATGAGGCTATTGATATTTATTAAAAAGTAATATGATTAATGGATTGGGTGTCTTGGTAAAGTGAAAGCATTGCTAATATGTAGATACATAAAAATGTGAATCAGAAAAATCAGAGGTGACAGTAGAGGAATGAAATATTCCAAGTTAAGGCATTTTGGGGAGCATATAAATCTCTATGGTATAAATATGGGAACAGAATTTGAGGCTGAATGAAAGTAAAAGTCATTTGACATCCAGAGGTACAGGACTGAGAAGAGGTACATGACAAAGAGTCACCCAGGAAGTATTAGGAGTCACAAGTTAACGTCTTTAATGTAAGGAAAGTGACAAAGACGTTGGTAAACAGAAAGATTAGAGAAGAGTAGTGTGCTTGAAAGCATATGGCTTTTTCAAGACTTTTTCTTCTTTAGAGGAAGAAGAGGAGGAAAATATTGTTTAGATGATGTAACCAAGAGCAAGAGCACTCTACAAACTTTTTGTCCTTGTGGTATAAAGGGACATGGAAGAAACAAAAACAAAAATCCAAGCTTCATAGAGTGAGAACCAGTTTTCAGTTAACATATGAAGATGGAAGAACTATCTTAAGGCTTAAAATATAACACCCTTCCTAATATCGTTAATATTTACATATATTTTCTTATTTAATTCTAATAGTCACTTCCCAAGGTGATGCTAAATTGTCTCAATTTTATAAATGAGGAACTCATAGCATGGAAATGTTGAGTAATTTTCCCATGGTTACATATCTAGTAAATATTGATGTCAGGATTCAAAATCAGGGCATCTGACTTCAGACCAAGCTACAATTTCACCTGGTCCTAAAAAGTGGAAGACTTGCTTTGATCTGGGGGTAACTATGACATAGGATAACATTGGTAGTGATGTAACAAAAATAGGATAACTTTAGTAGTGATGGTAGATGAATGGAGAGACTTGTACTTAAGGCAGCAACTAAAATGAATAGGATTGTGCATGCTGAGAGTTTTATACCCAGTCAGAGCAGAAATGATATAATCATTTCTAGGACTAGCTCAAAACTCATTCGTGACAAGGAATGCTTCTGGAATAAATTAGTTGTGTATATTGGTAGCTTAATCATGGAAACACAGACAAGATTTGTAGATTACGGTAGACATTTCTAATCCTCACCAATATCTGGTTCACTTTCTTTTCCTGGACAAAGGAGGAAAACTTCAGTCTCCTTGAAGCTAGGCAGGGCCACAGGACTAATTCTTTCCAGAAAAAGTGAGAAGAAGAGATGTATGTGTCTCTTTCAAGATAAGGCAGTTGAAAATTCCAAAGCAATTTTCTATGTTTTCTTCCTCCAATGCCATGACAAAAATGGAGGTCTGATGGTCAGATGGCCAAGCAACGAGGCAGAAGTAGGTGAGTGTGTGGGGGTTGCTGCTGTGGAATGCCACAGGGAGGACAGCTGTCCTGGAGAGTCACCCTCTCTGGCAGAGGAATATGGTGTTAAGCCACTGATATAGACTGTCTCCTCCTGAGAAACACAGAGAAGGAGAGAAGTTGGACCAGATGAAGAGAACAGTATTGACAAAGAAACAAAAGTTAGAAATGACAAGAAGACCCTATCTAAATATCAGTGGGATTTCCCCCCCCTTTTTTTCCTTTTTCTTTTTAAGACAAGGTCTTATTCTGTCACCCAGTCTGGAGTACAGTAGTGCAATCTCAGCTCACTGCAGCCTTGACCACCCAGGCTCCAGAGTAGCTGGGACCACAGGTGTGTACCAGCATGCCTAGCTATTTTCTTAAATTATCTATAGAGACAGGGTCTCCGTGTTTCCCAGGCTAGTCTCAAACTCCTGGGCTCAAGCGGTCCTCCCTTCTCAGCCTCCCAGAGTGCTGAGATTACAGGTGTGAGCCATGGCACCTGGCCAAGAGATTTCCCTAAGTCAATATTTCTAACAGATTTCTTCTTAGATCATGTGCTATACTAATGTACATTGTAAGTCTGTTAACATGGGTGGCTTTTTTTTTATGTGTAGCCTTTTCATTTTCTTAATGGACCACCTAATAACTGTAGAAATTACAATTTGGAAAATGCTTTTCTAAATTTTATTTTTAGGGTGTTCAATTGGTCAATATGCTATAATCATAGTTCTTAATTATCCAATCTTAATTCATGTAGATAAATTTATCTACTCAGAAAGAGATGATGAACACTGTGGATAAAAGATATTAGAACAGCTCACCTTTATATATATATAAAATTTACCTCAGGAGATCCAACCTACTTGAGGGAGCATTTCTATTCATTCCTCAATCCATGCACATAGGTACGCTGCCTGAGTTACTAGCTCATGGAAATAGAGGATGCTAAAAAACTTGCTCCTCAAGTAGTTCCAGGGAAATAATTGCAGTCTAGAGGTATGACCTGTGACTAAGAGATATGTAATCTAGAGGTATGATCTTTAAACTAAGTCTAGCATAAAGTCATCCAGTACTATACTGGAAACTATTTCTTGTTTTCAAGCATGTAATAATTTGTGTCTTTTGAATATGTTGATGGATTGCACTGATGTTCACTTTACAGAGCCCTAAAGAAATAAAAATACACACACAAAAGTACTTATACAGGCAGGAACCTAGTATTTTTTTTGCTTATGATAAGTTTATATCGTATTTAGGAAAAGAGAAACACATTGAACATTAAAGCACATTAAACATCAACTGCCATAAGGACTGTTGGTGCAGACTGAGGATGTGGCCAAGAAAGAGGAGTGGAGGTAGGGGTTGGTTTCTTCTTTCACTGCAGACCCACCTTGGGTTGGCCATTTGATGAGAGGAAAACTTGCTAATATTCTTGGTTAGAGATGGAGAAATGGATTTGGCAGAGATTACTAGTAGAAGTAATCAAAATCTGAGCTCCAAAGCACATAAACTCTATTCTCCTACTTGTATTTTTGGCTGCAAATTCCATCTCACATTTTCTGGTCCCATGTCATAAAGATACCTAGGAAATGTCTCTTGTTCTATTTTCCACCTCTTCTGGGTGATAAAAAAAAAAAAAGTCAGGTTTCTCTAAGTAAAGCTGGTTCACTCTCTCTTTTTCATGTTCTCTCTGTGTGTCTCTCTTTTTCTTTCTCTCCCTTTCTCTCTCTCTCTCTCTCCCTCCATGTACCTCAGAAAATCCTGAGTAAGGTAGTCTCAATTTAGGGGAAGAGGAGGCCCTGTTTATTCTTGAGCTTAAAGAATATTCTCTTACAAAGTTTCTTTGAGGCCCTGAAATGAGATATAATACAGTATTTTGATCTTTTATACAATTTTCCTTGAGTATAATAAATAAATATCTCAATCTTCTTTCTCTCTCAACTAAAGGAGAAAAACAAAGACAGAAGTTTTGGGCAGTGTAGAATTTGGACATTCCTGGAATTGTGAGCACAGTTCTTTCTCTCTCTGAGACCTTAACTTCCAGGAGGTGCAAGCAGTGAATGGTTCAGAGTTTATTGATTATTCCAATCAGTTCATGACCTATTGGAATCCCAGGGAAACCTTCACGGTGCACAGGAGATGAGAGTTGAGTTTGGGAGTAGTACAGGCGGTTAGGAGATAGAACAGTATTTTAAGATGCAGAGCCAGAATAAGCCTTTACCAGAAGAGTAAAGGAAGCAGAGAAGCAGAAAAGTACCTGGCACAATATTTGGGGTCCTGTAAAGAACAATATGAACAAATATTGAAAACTATAGCCTGGGATTGGAAAGTGAGCTACACGCAATGTCCTCACTAGGGAGCTTTGTGTTGGACACTGAGTTGGTGTCCCTTTCCCCACACTGCACTCCTCTCCGTCTCCTGCACAATTTTACTTTCTGTACACCAAAAATATCCTCCAGAAAGCAGCTTACCCTCCTTTCGCCGCATTTCCATTTCATGTCCATTCTTCAACACACAAGGTTCAGCCTCTCCTCATAGCCCTGCCAAATCTGTTCTTGTAAAGGTCATTTGATCCCAATGGTTCCAATTCCAATGAGACTACTTAGTCCTCATATGATGTTACTATTCACCCCTCATCTCAACCTTTATTTTTCTTAAAACCTTCTATTCCTCAGGATTCTCTAACACCACAGATTCTTGTTTTAACTACAATTCAATGACCTTCTCTCTTCTCAAATTCCCGTGATGGAGTATCTTGCATGACTTGCTTTCTAGGTCTTGGAATCACTAGGGCCGGGTTTAGGATAGCATCCTTTTTATACCTATCCTCTTGCCCAATCTTCTATGTACTTAAACATTGTGTTTGTCTCATTCCAGACTTTGACACCCCTGATTTTTTATGTCCTACTTCTTACATAATATCTCTACCTTATCTTACCAACATTTAAACCTATATGTCTCACTGTATTCACCATCTCACCCAGCTCCTGTTAATAATCAGAAACTATCCTTAATTACTCATTTTTTTCATAACTCGATTCTAAATTAACCATTTCTTAGGTGTTATTTGGGGGGCAGGGGGGCAGGGACAGGCTCTCACTCTGTCGCCCAGGCTGGAGTGCAGTGGCGTGATCTCGGCTCAGTGCAACCTCTGCCTCCCGGGTTCAAGTGATTCTCCTGCCTCAGCCTCCCAAGTAGCTGGAATTACAGGCGTGTGCCACTATCGCCTGGCTAATCTCAGTTTCACTAATTATTTCTATCTCCACTGCCAGAACATTATTGAAAGCCAAATTACTTTTTACCCAGACTTCTGAGGTAGACTTCTGTGGGGTCTCCTTAGTTTTATCCTTGTCCTCCTATAATCTAGTCTCCAAAAAATGTCTACGATCCTATTTTTAAACATCCATCACATTATATCATGCTCCTGCTTAGAAGTTTCTATTTGTTTCCCTTTAGAATGAAGTCCGAAGCCCATTCCAGTACCCACCAGGCTCTGAGCTCATTCCATCCCCATTTCATAGCATCTCTCATGTTTTCCTCTAAGCTTCCAACACACCCAGGCTTCCCAAATACTCAAATTATTTCCTATCTTAGATTATTTTGCTGATCCCTGAGCCTAAAATTATATAAGCTTATGTTTGGTATTATAGCACTCTGTTTATTTCCTTATAATTTTCAGAACTTAATTCATGTAAAGCTGATTTATTTGTTACGTATTTTCCCCATTAAAAGGTAAATTCAGTGAGTACAGGGACCCTGCCTGTCTTGCTTACCACTTTATCCTTAGAATTGAGTGAGTTGTTTGATAGATAATATTTTCTGTATGAATGAATATTTGTTGTCCAAACAGTGGCTCATAATGTGGCTTGTTGGGAATAGCATTTTCAATAAGAATTATCAATTTGAACTTTAAATTTCTAATTCCTTTACAAAATTAATTTTTTTAAAAAAACTTAAATGTTAAATCTGTAACTATTATTTACTTATATTTTTATTTTTGTTCTCAATGTATTTGGTATTTTACTTTTAAAGTAACATTTTTATTGGTATGTTTTTATCTATTTATTGAATCCTCAGGAATAGTGCTGTCAACAGCATCCACAAATGGGTACAGAGTTTAAAGAGATGTACCGTATTCTGGGTTGAGAATGCAATAAAATAGCCTCTACTAACTGCTGCCATTATGATATTTCCTAAAATCCTAATGAAAATTATTGCCTCTTTTTGAACCTTATATGCCTTCTTAAACATGAATTTGAGCACAAGGCTTATCTGTTGAACAACAAGGCTTATCTGTTGAACAAACGAATAAAACAAATGAAAATTTAAGAAAAATAATTCACCAGAAATGCAAATTAAACGCAAATATATATGTCTGTAAATGTAAATATGTGTTTATATATATATTTACTTTGTATCTGTATGTATACATGCATATGGGTGAAGACAGAATTTGGAATTTCAAGAACTGGTAAAATAGATGATTTTCAGGTCCTTTTAGATCTTAAAATATAGCATTTGATAAGTTGGATCTGTTGTCTCAGAGTAATGAGAATTTAACAGGATTAAGTGGACATTTTTACTTGTTTGATTGAATTGAATCTGTTTTGAAAACACATTGAAATTCAACAAACTCACCCTACTGTATGGATGCCTCCTGTGTGCCAGGCTTGGTGCCAGGTAATGAGGATTCCAAGATGAAGGAAGCCTATGCCCTTCCCTGGGCCTCTTCATAATCTTGGGATTGAGATTGCCATGGCAAACTCACATGTGTAGTGCATGTGCTTTGTATCTATAATATGAAGAACATATAAAATGGTATCCACGTGGAATTATTCTGCCTTTGAGGTGAAGGAATGTTTCAGAGTTTACCTTGTGCAACAAACTCAGCAGTACTCTAATTCTCATCACTAGAGTGTTTTACTTCTCATTTCATTTAATAAGATGCTGCATTTTATATTTGGATCTATCTACCATTCTAGCTGTTATTTTTCCATGGATCTCATGTTATGACCATTGGTCCCTTCTTCAATTCTGTTTAATGCTACCTGCAGCTCAATCTAAATTGTAAACCAGGTCTAATGATGAATTAGAAGCCCCTTTCTCACCAGCAGTGGATAGTAATCTTGCTATGGCAAAATCCATATCCAGTGCCCTGGATGACTAAGTAGGAGCCGAGTGTACTTTTGCTTTAATCTCCTTTTAGTTATTTTGGTCAATGTGACAGCACTTCTGCTTGAGTTTATCTTTCTTCTGCAATTCCTACCTTGGGACTAGAGACAAGCTATGACAAAGCATCCATTTACTTGAGACCAAATAGACTTTCTAACTATTGCCAGCTCTCTCCTTAATGGCAACCCTATTCCCAGAACTCTCAGCATCTGCCTACGATGGGCCGATTCCAAAACATAACAGCACATCCAACTTACTGAGCATCTCTATTTCTAGAAAGGTTTGTTTAACACTCATACTATATTGGTCCCATTTGAATGTCAAGTATGAATTTATTACACATCATTTATTGAACTCTTTTTGAATATTAAGTTCAAGGTTGCTAAACCATCTTGGATATTAATATAATGATCATGATGAAAACTTTGAACACTCCTAACCTAGACTCTTTCCTCAAATTTTCTCTTTACAACATACCCAAGTTGACTATATATGCATGAGTAACAAGAAGCATTCCAAAGGAATATTTATAAGTATTAACAGGCAGGAAAAAAATCGGATGATTTTTAAATTACTAATTTAAAATGTATTTCAATATGCCAAGCCATGTTAAATCATCTGTAGGTCCAATAAATTTTAATATGTTTTTTAAAACTGAAGAATAATGCTTGACTACAAAAGATGAAGTTGTAGACTTTATTATAATAAAAATAATGGTTTGGTTTTGGAAATTGTATAGATTTCCTTGTGGACATAGTTTGTGAATAAAGCTTTTTCTTGTTTCTTATTTTTGGTTACCACATCCTCCACCTAATGTGTTCTGAGGATGATGATGTTTGAAATTTACATTAAGATACCTTCTTGTTAGTAGGAGTGTAACTAACCAAGGAATGGAAGAAACAGTGGAAAGTAGTGGGAAGGACCCCAGCTTGCTAGCATGAGGTTCTTTTTATTTTTTCTGCTATCCAGTGATTCTTAATCATGTCAGGGTCACACATTCCTTTGAGAAACTAAAGCTATGGATGGTCTCCCTATAAAAATGTAGAAACTCTGTGGGAATTATTAAGCCATTGTCTGTCAGCTTAAAGCCCAACCTTCTCTATTGTGCTTGGCCATTGTGGAGCTGGAACTCAGACCACTGCATTCTGCTTTGCCAACTGTCTTCCTGTTTGGCTTTGCCAATAAAAGGTATGAGAGGGAGGCTGCAGGGCTGGAGAAAAATGAAGAAAGTTGTTTCTTTCTATCTGCCTCCCTGGACTTCCTGTCTGTGAGACCCTCCCTTAAGTTTCTAAGTTTATGCCATTGTTTCTTTTTCTTCTGAGCACTAGAGGTTGTGGTTATTTCCTGTACTTGCTTCTTCCATAATACAGTGCTATATAGCATTTTCCTTTTACGTTTTATTTTTAGGTAATGATTCCTCAGATGAATTCCCTCCATTCAACTAGCTGGTGTGGTTTTAGTCAACTGGACCCTGACTGATCAATATTCTCACATAAATAAAACTTTTTTTTTTTTTTTAATTTTCAGGAGGCTGATTGATTCCTGCTTAGGAAGTAGTTAACCCAGGGCCGGGCGTGGTGGCTCACGCCTGTAATCCCAGCACTATGGGAGGCCGAGGCGGGCGGATCACGAGGTCAGGAGATCGAGACCATCCTGGCTAACACGGTGAAACCCCGTCTCTACTAAAAATACAAAAAATGAGCCGGGCGTGGTGGCGGGCGCCTGTAGTCCCAGCTACTCGGGAGACTGAGGCAGGAGAATGGCGTGAACCCGGGAGGCGGAGCTTGCAGTGAGCCGAGATCGCGCCACTGCACTCCAGCCTGGGTGACACAGCGAGACTCTGTCTCAAAAAAAAAAAAAAGTTTAAACAGTGGCTCTCTAAATCCTCATAAGTTCTAAAATTCAGTGTTTCTCGTATATATATGATTGGGGAAAGGATAAAAAAATGATCAATGAAACTATTAATGAAAATGTGAGAAATAATCGTGAAAATGTGAAGTAATCATCAAGTCCAATCTGTACCCATTTTGAAACATAAGTGGGTTATCAACAGAAGTAATTATTTATAGGGAAGTGGATGAGAAAAAAGAAAAAAATTTTTCTGTGATAGAAGTGGGAGAGTAGTCTTGGCATATGGTCCGTAGGAATTGAGTACAGATTTTGACCACCAGAAGGAAACAGGAAGCAGATGAGTGAAAAACACAATATCGTTTCAAAAAGTTTTTTTTTATATAAATGCAAGTAATAGAGCTGCAGAGTACAATTTTTAAAAATAAAGCTACCTGTACAGTCACTCTTGATGTGCCACAGTATTTCTTATCACAGCAATGCAGCTGCTGATATTTAGAACCTAGAATGGATTTCTTGCAAGACGCTGGCAGTAATTCCTACACATCCATAGCTGTCAGTGGAGTGAGTGCATTGTCACTATTATGAGGTCGTTATTGACACATGACTTTTATAATAGAGGAATTCCCATTTATGACATCTCAATTCTCCTAATCCCTTCACCTTCTCTGCTAATCGAAAAAAAGTTGAAGTATACAGTTAAGGGCCAGAAGTAACAAAAAAAAAAAAAAAAAAAAAAAAAGAAAGAAAGAAAATAAAAGAAAAAAAAATCAGTCTCTTTCCTCTGAGAGCCCAACTCCTAGTAAGAGAGACAGAATCAAATTTAATAAAATTTGAATAAGCTCCATAGGAAGTAAAGGGAGAAATCAGTGTTAGAATTAAGGATGGTCGAGGGCACAGAAAAACTGGCCACATCCCATTGTCATTCTCCTTTCCAATATGCTCTTATTTCTGGAGACACAAGACTGTATCTTTTAATCATTTACTTTATTGTGCAACTCGCTGTATAACATCTATGTCTTCAAATTGTTCGGCATTCAATGGGATAAGAGAATGAATTTGGAAAACCTCGCTGGCATTTAGCTAGGTAATTGAAGATGGAATTCCATAGGACTATCCCTTAGGCATACACCATACAAATTTACTCATATAAAATGTGTTTTTTTCCCTTCAGTTTTATGCAGGTGAAAAAAATATACAGAGTAGGAGCAACTTTTAGACTGAAAAATTTATCCGTTTATATATTACTATAAAGAAAACCACCCCACTTCTTCTCAGGTGACAATGGAAAGGCTTGGTGAACTGATTTTATTACATGAGCGATTAGTTAATTTTATTTCATTATATTTTCCCAAATGATAGGGAAACAGGGTGGTGTCATCACATTTTTTATCTTTTCTATTCTTTCCTGCTTAACCATCTTCAGCCAACAGTTTAGATCCTTACACAGTGCACAGCACAGGTTATGTGGTCCAAGGGAATAGACTTAGCCGCTTGCGACTCTTGAAATTTAAGTTAAGATTAATTGAAATTAAAAAATAATAAATTTGCAGTTTCTCCATTGCACTAGCTACATTTCAAGATCGATAGCCACATGTAGTGTCTGCATATTAAACAGCAAAAGTGTAAACTATTTTCATCATCTCAGAGAGTTTCATTACCCAGTGTTGACCCTAGATCATCAACCTAATAACGATTCTGTAAAAGTGCCTCGCCTTCATTTTTTCATCCCTATGAACCTACTGTAAGAATAAAATAGGATTTGTGGCCGGGCGCAGTGTCTCACGCTTGTAATCCCAGCACTTTGGGAGGCCGAGGCAGGCAGATCATGAGGTCAGGAGATCGAGACCATCCTGGCTAACATGGTGAAATCCCGTCTCTACTAAAAATACAGAAAAATTAGCCGGACGTGGTGGTGGGCACCTGTAGTCCCAGCTACTCGGGAGGCTGAATCAGGAGAATGGCGTGAACCCGGGAGGCGGAGCTTGCTGAGATTGCGCCACTGCGCTCCAGCCTGGGCGACAGAGCTAGACTCCGTCTCAAAAAAGAGAAAAATTAGGGCTTGTAACAGATTCTTTTTCAGTAGCCACAGCAGATGCCTTGTGTAGCATATTCAAGGCATTATACCCAAATTGTTGCACTGCAGAAGGGGAGACAAGGTTTTTTCCAAAGCCCTGAAACACATGATTTGGAAATCTTTTGCAGTCTTGCCTTATGAAGCAGCAGTGCCACCAAGTGTTGGGTGAAAACGGTTTCGATTTTTGAAAGACATTTGATGAAAATTTTGAATTAAAAAAATCAACAGAATTAATCATAGTTGCCATTTAACCTGCATAGGTTTATATCATGAAGCCTTATGTATCACTTTCCATTTATCACAGATTTTAAAACATAGTAAGAATAGATACAGTTAAATATATGCTGCACTTGATGTCTTTTTTTTTTTTACTCTAGCTAAAAGAAAGATATAGCATAACAATTTGAAAGGATGTGATGATTTTTTCTCCTTCACCTTGGATCTGTATATTTAGAAATTCTGCAATGTGCAACTCTGAACTGCAGCTATCTATAGCGTGCTCCTAAGAAAGAATAAATTATTTAAACACTGCCATTGCCTCAGATCTAGATTTTACTCACTCTTCTTCATTCCCTCAATCACCACCCCCTAACTTCCCTTCCCCCGCACCTTGTAGATCAGTCTGCCTCTATGGAGATTTTCATCCAAAACATGACGTGCATTTTATAACCGGAAAAACCGTAGACAGAAAAATGGTGGTTTTCATTTTCTGTGTTGTCTTTATTACAGATGGAGGGAGGAAAAGTCTACTGGTTTCTCTACCTTATTTATAACTGCAGCAAAATCCTATTTTACTTGTCCTCTGTTGCCATGGTTACAAGCTTTCCCATTTCAACAGGTCAATACAAGCTTTCGGTTTATATAAGGTCTTGGGTAATTCATCTCAGCATTGCACAAACAACAAACCAGCTCTTATCTCCTCCTTCTTTAAAAAATAATCTGTCAAACCCCTGAAAGAACAATTCATTCTGATTTTCAAAATTTGTTATTCTCATCCTTATTCTCTTGTTTGTGGTTTTATGCTAATGTTCATTTAGTACTCCAAAACAGGACACAGGTTTTGTTAATGTAGCAACCTTAGCAGCTCTGTGTGCATGAATGTTCTAAACTGGCTGATTTGCTAATAGTACTTCATTTGTTTCGTGGAGAATACATACATTAAACCTGGCATTTTAATAGATCACATTAAAAACGCAATATAGATCAGATGGTAGGAATTTGGCAAAGTGTTAAGATGTGTATTGGTCTGTGGTTCTTATTCATCAGCCTCAGGTATGTTTTTCAATGCTTCTGAGAGGTTTTATTGCTTCTCATCTAGTCTCTAAGTGCCATATGAAACATGCTCTATTACTTAGAGTACCTATAGTACAGAAATACCCCACTGACTGTGTTCTGGACTTCAATCTCTTTCTCTTTAACTCTGTTCTTCAAATCTCTTGTAGAATAATGTTTCCAAGTACTATATTTTATAAGCACATTGTTTTCTAGGTCAAATAATATTTAAGATTCCCAGTGCCTACCAAACAAAATGCAAATTATTCATGTGGACTTCAAATATCCCTATATTTTATTATACCCAATAAAAAGTAATAGAAATCATATTAACTGCATTGATTGCAAGGTCAGTTGGAATTCTGCTTCTTTGGGAACAAACAAAAGATTTTGAGTTGGAGTCTGAGGGAAGAAGAAATGAGAATCTTTGTGATGAGACACAGAGGAAAGATTGTCAACTGTATGGGAGAATCAAAGTATGAATAGATTAAACACACACTCACATGCACACACACAGACTTTTTCCAGCCTTTACTTATGAAGGGAATGATTTTATGTCTGTGTTCTTCCTTTGTATAAAACACGGATCAGGTCGGTAACAAAAAGATGAGCAGAAGGGAGTAGAAAGGACTTCGGTGAATTGACGGACCTGATGGCGGACACTCAGATTGATTTTATCCTTTATAGTGGTTAAACAGATGGCATGATCATACATCTCTGTGTGCATGGGACTGTCATGTTTCACTCCTGTTGTCATGGGCTAATAGCTCCTCATTTCACTTCCTAAAATGTTTGGGTTTAGATGGTAGATCACACAGTCACCCCACTACTAAAACATTGCAGGGAGTCTATTTTGACCTGGGTGGCAGTTTGTAGCTTCTGTTACTAAGATTTCCCCTCAGAACACGATGCATGGTGACAGGTTACCTAAAATCTTGTCTTAAAACTGAAGCAAGTTGTGAAGAAATGTTGGCTAATGTAAAATATGTATAAATATTTTGTCTGATAAAAAGGAACAATTTAAATAGCATTGACTTACTGGGAATACTTTAATTTTTCAATTAATTGTATAGTTAATAGTAGTTGTGAGTCTTTCAATTTTTATTATTTGCATAAATTAGTTAAAATAGAGTCTTCCTATTAGCCAGACATGGTGGCTCGTGCCTGTAGTCCCAGCTACTCGGGAGGCTGAGGCAGGAGAATCGCTTGAACCTGGGAGGCAGAGGTTGCGGTGAGCCGAGATGGTGCCACTGCACTCCAGCCTGGGCAACAAAAAATAAACTGACTCAAAAAAATAAAATAAAAAATAGAGTATTCCTGAACATCACAGTGCTACCTCCTGAACATCCTTTTCTGCTCACATCACTCCTACTTTGTCTTCTTGGCTTATTTCGTAATGATCAAATATTTTTAGTCACCTGGACCCCTTTTAAATTAAATATAGACAGAATTCTACCACATAAGAGCAGAGATTCTGTGACTGGAATGTAAGAAGGGAGTGAAACTTCCAAGCTGCCCTTCTTCTGCATCCTTTCAATCTTCTCTGTTTCCTACAGGAAGGCAGCCTAAGGCAACTTTTTAGACCTTAGGGTTCTGACAACACAATCTTAAAGAAATACCACTCTAGTAGGACAAATATGGACTTTCAAATCAGGTTTCAAGTTGAATCCTGTTAAATATTTAGAATGTATGTACCTATGGATGTGGCTTAAGCCCTGTGACTCCACTGGTAAATTTAAAATGTAGGGGATGGTGTACAGAATAAATGACAAAATTTAAATAGTGTTCCTAATACATGTAGACATTTCTCAAGGTTTACGTTTCTGCCGTCTTACATAGCCCATTCCACATTATTGATTCTCACCCTGTCAATGAATCACAATCACGTACAGATCTTCTTTTTAAATAGAAATGCCAGTTTCTGCTCATATTTGGACTCACGGATCTGATTATTAATCCACCCTGCTGGCCACTGGTAAAAAATGACTATGCTGCCTCCTATGGTTCCTCCTCCCCCAAGTCTAGGCATTCATGAGCTCTGACTCTTCTCCTGAGTCCTACTTTTGGATGGTAATTTGGATGAGAACAGAATCTCTCATAGCCAGGATGTCTAGGTTCAAGTCCTGGTTCTTCCGCTTATGAGTTGGCTAACACTGAACACATTACTTCTTTAGGCTTCAGTTGACTCATCTGAAAAACGGGTTTGTGGCAATATTAAGTCTTATTCTCAAAATACTTCAACACTCTTCTCCTTATCATTTCAAATAAAATAACTCATTATTTTATGTTCTTGAGAAAAGAGAAATAACAATGAAACCCAAACACAGCTTTCTTTTTAATTCACATTTTTTTGTCTGACTATTCTATAAGTAATCCAGATTCAATGGTTCTGAGAGGTTTTAACACTTCTTGTCTAGTCTCTATTTGCTATATGAAACATGCTCTATTACTTAGCACCTAAAGGACAGAAATACCCCACTGACTGTTTTCTGAACTTCAATCTCTTTCTTTTTAATTCCATTCTTCAAATCTCTTGCAGAATACTGTTTCCAAGTACTATATTTTATGAACATATTGTTTTCCAGGTCAAATAATATTTAAGATTCCCAGTGCCTACCAAACAAAATACAAATTCTTCATATGGACTTCAAAGATAATTCTGATAAATGTTTTAAAGGTGTAGGGGAGAGCAGGTAAGCAGCATTGTCAGTTGGTGGGCAGTCTGAAATGGCTTCAACATTTTACAAAGTTGTACTTTGTAAAATCTCAGGATAACATTAACAGGCTTCTTATATCAGCAGTAAGTGAGATTTTTATTTCTTTGATAGATAGTCAGACATTTTATTTTTATCCCTTACTTCAGCTTTGTTTATTCATAAAGCAGGTCTAGTCAACAATTCCCCAATTACATTGCCACTAGATATATAGAAGTGGGTATTGTTTCTAACTCCATGAATTAATACTCCCAAAATTTTGATTTCTATTGAAATATTATAGATTTTCTCCTTTTTGATGGGTTTATTGCTCTCAGTAATGAATGTTCAAGTCTCTAGAGGAAGTGATTAAACTGTTGTCTTGGGAATTCTCCTGCACTTGGTGTATCTTACATTAGCATATATGGCAGTGCAGCAAACATAAGTGATTATGTAACTATCCTATCCCACCCATCACAGCCAACGTCTGATTCATAATAACCTTTGAATTTTTTTTTGTTAAGTGAATTGGTTAAATGACTAGGTGAATGAATGTAAGAACAATCTTCACACTTTACTGAAATTAGTAGGTGGAATTTATTCTGCACATCATTTAGGTGACGGCATTAATGTAATATTCTAAATAGCTGGTATAGGAAGTATGGCTTTGAGATGAGTTTAGCACTAATGATGTTGGGCAATCTTTCCACCACCTTTAGGTCACTTGAAAATTATTTTGTATACAAAGCATCCAAGATGTGTGTGTGTGTGTGTGTGTGTGTGTGTGTGTTTGTGAGTAAAGTTCTTGCTTTTCTTGATGATTGGAGGCCAATTATAAATTCCTTATAGGTTAAATGTATCAAACATTCTCCCCTAACTATATGAGTATACACACACACACACACACACACACACTTGCATGTATGTATGCATGTGTGTTATGTGAGTGTGTATATATTCATACACAAACACACACATATACATAGGCTGGACTAATGGAAAATTATTGCC
Source organism: Homo sapiens (assembly GCF_000001405.40). Taxonomy (NCBI): domain Eukaryota; kingdom Metazoa; phylum Chordata; class Mammalia; order Primates; family Hominidae; genus Homo; species Homo sapiens. Next base: position 18,118,743 of record NC_000005.10, read on the forward strand.
TATTTTATTCCTATGTTAAATGCAGAATCCCAACTGATACAAAGAATTCTGTTGCTATAAATATGATTTAGAAATACACAGAAGTATTCCCTTAAAAGCTGTACTTATACAGAATATTTAAGAATGTAGTTTAATATGTCACCACCTACTGAAATAGAGACAACCTCCATCACTCTTTTTCCTCTTACAAACCTATTTTTCTCACTTTCCACTGCCTTGCACTGAAGAATATATATGTATTTAGAAGCAGCAGCGTTAGGAGGCTCCCCATCGAAAAAAAACCATAATAAGCATGTCAAGCTTTCAGCAGCAACCAAGGTATCGAGGTTCTCTCATCAAAATTGACTAGAAGGCTGGCATGATCCATGGAGAGAAGGAAGAACAGTGTGGTGCAGAGGGCCCAACTGAGAGCCACACAGGAAAGGGAACACCCTCCTCCAGCCAAGGGAGGCAGTGAGTGAGCGTGCCACCCAGCAGGAGAAACTGCGCTTTTGCTGTGGAACTGTGTGACCCACAGATTGGAAGATCCCGCTCGCGAACCCACACCACCGGCGCCTAGTGTCCCAACCCCAGAACGTGCAGATTCTTATAGCCTCTCAGCTGGAATCTGCTTAAGCCTACCAAACTCCTAGGGGGAGGGGAGATCAGCAGGCCCTGTGGCTGCCTGCTGTCTAAGCCATGGGACTCACAACTGCCTAACATGCTAAGCTCCCTGGGTGGGGGAAGGGTGGCACGCATTTCTATAGCTCCATGCTGTGCTTTTTCTCTGCTGGAGCCAAGGAGGCTGTAAGTCTTGGTCCCAAGACTTGTCTCCATAGCCCAACACACCCGCTGTGGTAATCTGTGGCCAAAGTGCCTCTTCAGGCCTAACTCTGACCCATCCTTCCTCAGTGGGCGGGGCTTCCTGGCAGGATCTCCAGTAACTCCAGCTAGAGGTTCAGGGACAGAATTAGGATTTTCCTGGGCCTGAGCCCCTAGTGGGAGGGGTGGCTGCACTCTTTGGGGACCAGCAGACTTAACCTCTCCTCCTGGTAGTTCTGAGGAATCCAGGCAGCCCACATGAGTGAGTTTCTCCCCAGCAAAATACACCCTTTCCACCAAGGGACAAAGTGCTTCGTAAAATGGGTTCTGCTCCCTGTTCAACCCAACTGGGTGAGACCCTCCAACAGGGATTGTCAGACACCCTATACAGGAGCAATCCTACTAGCATCAGGTTGGTGCCCCTCGAGGTCAGGGGTCCCGGAAGAAGAAGCAGGCACCCGCCTTTGTTGCTCTCCAGCCTCCTTGAGTGACATCTCCAGGCACAGAAGCAAATCAAATGAACAGGCCTGAAGTGAACCCCCAGCAAACTGCAGCAGCCCTGTAGAAGAGAGACCAGACTATTGAAAGAAACAAGCAGAAAGTGACAACAACAACAACAACAACAAAAAGGCCCTCACAAAAACCCCATCCAAGGGTCAGCAGCCTCAAAGACCAAAACTAGAAAAACTCATGAAGGTGAGAAAGAATCAATGAAAAAATGTGGAAAACCCAAAAGGTCAGAGTGCCTCTTGTCCTCCAAATGATAGCAAGGTCTCTCCATCAAGTTCACAGAACTAGATGGAGGATCAGATGACGAATTCACAGAAGTAGGCTTCCGAAGATGGATAATAACCAACTACGATGAGCTAAAGGAGTGTGTTCTAACCCAATGCAAAGAAGCTAAGAACCATGAAAAAAGGTTATAGGGGCTGCTAACTAGAATCACCAGTCTACAGAGGAACATAAACTACCTGATGGAGCTGAAAAACCCAGCACGAGAACTTCATGAAGCATACACAAGTATCAATGGCTGAATAGACCAAGTGGAAGAAACGATATCAGAGTTTGAAGACCATCTTACCGAAATAAGACATGCAAACAAGAATAGAGAAGAAAGAATGAAAAGGAATGAACAAAGTCTGCAAGGAATATGGGACTTCATAAAAAGACCAAACCTAACGATCGATTGGAGTACAATCCTCAATAAAATACTGGCAAATTGAATCCAGCAGCACATCAAAAAAACTTAACCACCATGATCAAGTTGGCTTCATCCCTTGGATGCAAGGCTAGTTCAACATATGCAAATCAATAAATGTAATCCATCACATAAACAGAACCAAAGACAAAAAAAACACATGATTATCTCAATAGATGCAGAAAAGGCCTTCGATAAAATTCATATCCCTTCATGTTAAAAGAGAACTTCCCTAACCTAGCAGAGGCCAGCATGCAAATTCAGAGAAAACCAGTAAGATACTGCACAAGAAGGTCAACCCCAAGGCACAAAATCATCAGATTCTCCTAGGTTGAAATGAAGAAAAAACTGTTAAGGGCAGCCAGAAAGAAAGGCCAGGTCACTTACAAAGGAAAGCCATCAGACTTACAGTGGACCTCTCAGCAGAAACTCTATAAGCTGGAGGAGATTGGGGGCCAATATTCAACATTCTTAAAGAAAAGAATTTTCAACCCGGAATTTCGTATCCTGCCAAACTAAGCTTCATAAGCAAAGAGAAATAAAACCTTTTCAGATGAGCAAATGCTGAGGGATTTCATTACCACCAAGCTTGCCCTGCAAGAGATCCTGAAAGAAGCACTGAATATGGAAAGGAAAAACTGGTACCAGCCACTGCAAAAACACACCAAAATATAAAGACCAATGACATTACGAAGAAACTGCATTAAAATCCAATGATAATAAATAGCATCATGATGACAGGATCAAACTCTGTCTGAACTGAAGTGTATATGGGCTAAATGCCCCAATTAAAAGACACATACTGGCAAATTGGATAAGGCGTCAAGACCCATTGGTGTGCTGTATCCAGGAGACTCATCTTACATGCAAAGACAGATACAGGCTCAAAATAAAGGGATTGAGGAAATTTTACCAAGCAAATGGGAAGCAAAAAAAGCAGGGGTTGCAATCCTAGTCTCTGATAAAGCAGACTTTAAACCAACAAAGATCAAAAGAGACAAAGAAGGCCGTTACATAATGGTAAAGGGATCAATTCAACAAGAAGAGCTAACTATCCTAAATATATATGCACCCAATACAGGAGCACCCAGATTCATAAAGCAAGTCCTTTAGAGACCTACAAAGAGACTTAGACTCCCACACAATAATAATGGGAGATTTTTAACACCCCACTGTCAACATTAGACAGATCAACAAGACAGAAAGTTAACAAGGATATCCAGGACTTGAATTCAGCTCTCCACCAAGCAGACTTAATGGACATCTACAGAACTCTCCACCCCGAATCAACAGAATATACGTTCTTCTCAGCACGACATCACACTTATTCCAAAACTGACCACGTACTTGGAAGTAAAGCACTCTTCAGCAAATGTAAAAGAACAGATATTATAACAAACTGTCTCTCAGAACACAGTGCAATAAAATTAGAACTCAGGATTAAGAAACTCACTCAAAACCACACAATTTCATGGAACTTGAACAACCTGCTCCTGAGTGACTCCTGGGTAAATAATGAAATTAAGGCAGAAATCAAGAAGTTCTTTAAAACCAATGAGAACAAAGAGACAATGTACCAGAGTCTCTGAGACACATTTAAAGCAGTGTTAAGAGGGAAATTTATAGCACTAAATCCCACATCAGAAAGCTAGAAAGATCTCAAATTGACACCCTAACATCACAATTAAAAGAGCTACAGAGGCAAAAGCAAACTAATCCAAAAACTAGCAGAAGACAAGAAATAACTAAGATCTAAGAAGAATTGAAGGATACAGAGACACAAAAACCCTCCAAAAAAATCAAGGAATCCAGGAGCTGTTTTTCTAAAAAAAAAAAAAAAAAAAGTAGACCACCACTTGCTAGACTAATAGAAAATAAGAGAAAGAAGAATCAAATAGACACAATAAAAAATGATAAAGGAGATATCCCCACTGACCCCACAGAAATACAAACTACCATCAGAGGATACTATAAACACCTCCAAGCAAATAAACTATAAAATCTAGAAGAAATGGATAAATTCCTGGACCGCATATGCCCTACTAAGTCTAAACCAGGAAGAAGTTGAATCCCTGAATAGACCCAAACAATCGCTGAAATTGAGACAGTAATTAGTAGCCTGCCAACCAAAAAAAGCCCAGGACCAGAAGGATTCACAGCTGAATGCTACCAGAAATACAAAGAGGAGCTGGTACCATTCCTTCTGAAACTATTCCAAACAATTGAAAAGGAAGGACTCTTCCCTAACTAATTTTATGAAGCCAGCATCATTCTGATACCAAAACCAGGAAGAGACACAACAACAAAAAAAGAACACTTCAGGCCAATATCCCTGATGAACATCGAAGAGAAAATCCTCAATAAAATACTGGCAAATTGAATCCAGCAGCACATCAAAGAATTTATCCACCATGATCAAGTTGGCTTCATCCCTTGGATGCAAGGCTAGTTCAACATATGCAAATCAATAAATGTAATCCGTCACATAAACAGAACCAAAGATAAAAAAACACATGATTATCTCAATAGATGCGGAAGAGGCCTTTGATAAAATTCATATCCCTTCATGTTGAAAACTCTCAATAAACTTAATATTGATGGAACCTATCTCAAAATAATCAGAGCTATTTATGACAAACCCATAGCCAATTTCATATTGAATGGGCAAAAGCTGGAAGCATTCCCTTTGAAAACTGGTACAAGACAAGGGTGCTCTTTCTCACCACTCCTATTCAACACAGTATTGGAAGTTCTGGCCAGGGCAATCAGGCAAGAGAAAAAAATAAAGGGTATTCAAATAGGAAGAGAGGGAGTCGAGTTGTCTCTGTTTTCAGATGACATGATTCTATATTTGGAAAACCCCATCATCTCAGCTTAAAAACTTCTCGAATTGATAAGCAACTTCAGCAAAATCTCAGGATACAATATCGATGTGCAAAAATCACAAGCATCCCTTTACACCACCAATAGGCAAGTAGTGAGCCAAATATGAATGAATTCTGATCCACAATCACTACCAAGAGAAGAAAATACCTAGGAATACAGCTAAAAAGGGATGTGAAGAGCCTTTTCAAGGAGAACTACAAACCACTGCTCAAGGAAATAAGAGAGGACACAAAGAAATGGAAAAGCATTCCATCCTCATGGATAGGAAGAATTTATATCATGAAAATGGCCATACTGCCCAAAGTAGTTTATCGATTCAATTCTATTCTCATCAAACTACCGTTGACACTCTTCACAGAATTTAAAAAAACTATTTTAAATTTCATATGGAATCAAAGAAGACCCCATATAGCCAAGACAATCCAAAGCAAAAAGAACAAAGTTGGACGCATCACGCTACCTGACTTCAAAATAAGCTACAAGGCCACAGTAACCAAAACAGCATGGCACTGGTACCAAAACAGACATATAGACCAATGGAGCAGAATGGAGGCCTCAGAAATAACCCAACACATCTACAACCATCTGATCTTTGACAACCTGACAAAAACGAGCAATGGGGAAAGGATTTCCTGTTCAGTAAATGGTGCTGGGAAAACTGGCTAGCCATATGTGGAAAATAAACTGGACCTCTTCCTTATACCTTATACAAAAATTAATTCAAGATGGATTAAAGACTTAAATGTAAAACCCAAAATCACAAATACCCAAAAGAAAACCTAGGCAATATCACTCAGGACATAGGCATGGACAAAGACTTCATGACAAAAATGCCAAAAGCAATTGCAACAAAAGCCAAAATTGACAAATGGAATCTAATTAAAGAGCTTCTGCACAGCAAAAGAAACTATCATCAAAGTAAATAGGCAACCTATAGAATGGGAGAAAATTTTTGCAATTTACCCATCTGACAAAGGACTAATATCCAGAATTTACGAGGAACTTAAACATATTTACAAGAAAACAACCCCATCAAAAAGTGGGCAAAGGACATGAACAGATACTTCTTAGAAGAAGACGTTTACATGGCCAACAAACATATGAAGAAGCTCAACATCACTGATCATCAGATGAATGCCAATCAAAACCACAATGAGATATGATATTATGCCAGTCAGAATGGTGATTATTAAAAAGTCAGGAAACAATAGATACTGGTGAGACTGTGGAGAAATAGGAATGCTTTTACACTGTTGGTGGGAATGTAAATTAGTTCAACCACTGTGGAAGACAGTATGGCATTTCCTCGAAGATCTAGAACCGGAAATACCATTTGACACAGCAATCCCATTACTGGGTATATACCCAAAGGAATATAAATCATTCTATAAAGACACATGCACATGTATGTTTATTACAGAACTATTTACAATAGCAAAGACATCAAACCAACCCAAGTGCCCATCAATGATAGACTGGATAAAGAAAATGTGGTACATATACACTTTGGAATACTATGCAGCCATAAAAAGGAATGAGATTATGTCCTTTGCAGGGACATGGCTGAAGCTAGAAGCCATCATTCTTGGCAAACTAACACAGGAACAGAAAACCAAATGCCGCATGTTCTCATTCATAAGTGTGAGTTGAACATTGAGAACACATGGTCACAGAGAGGGGAACAACACATACCAGGGCCTGTTGCAGGATGGGGAGTGAGAGGAGGGAAATTAGAGCAGTAGAGCAGGGGTCAATAGGTGCAGCAAACCACCATGGCACACATGTACCTATGTAACAAACCTGCATGTTCTGCACATGTATCCGGTTTTCTGTTTTTTTTTTTTAGAAGAAATAAAAAGTACGTATTTTTAAATAGCTTTATTGAGTTATAATTGAAATAAAATAATAAGCACATACATAAAATAGAATACATACTGCCTAATTCAATTCATATGAATAGAATATAAATTCTAATTCGCAGAGTGGACTATTTCAGGATATTATGTTTTCACTGTGGGTATAAAAAGAAGTTGTTATTTTGCTCTCCTAAAATATATTTTAAATAATGTCTTTTTACATTTGAGCCATCTGAAAAAATTGATTAATAAGAAATACATAACATTTCTTTAAAGAAAGTTTCAACCCTAAGCCAATAAAGAAGAGATAATATGAAATGTTTGTGCCTTTTTAAATGTATGCGTGTATATATTTAATTATTCTCACATTCCAAATGTATTTCTTTGTTAGGTAGCACTACTGTGCCTATTTGTGGCTTAGGAAAGAAAAAATATATAGAAGGCATTATTACTTGTGATTAGATTAAAGGTGAGAGAAATGTTTTTGTCAAAGGTCTATAAATTAGCTAAGAAATACCACTTCAACCCAGTGTTAAACAAGGGCAGTGCCTGAAGTCTAGACTTTTAACAAATGCATGCTGATTCTTTCTTTCATCCATTTGTGAGGCTTCTCATGCACCCTGAAGTCCTAGGACAGCAAGTCAAACAGACAAAGTAACAAAAGCTTGGGCTATTGGAATCCCAGCTTTTTTCTGTTATCAAAGTCTGCTTTTTCCTACATCACACCATTGCCCAAATCTGAAATTTTAGGAGTAAGGTAAATGCCAGAAAGTACAAAGAGTTTCAAAGTACTTGGGTTCCAAAGAGGGAGAATATTAATTTGGAAGGGAGGCTTACAAAATGCTTCAAAATTGTAGAGACATAGGACTTTATAGCTAAAAGAAAACATAAAGATAATTTTCAATTTGTGCTTCAGTGGAGAATCACAGCTAATTCTAAAACGAGAACTTGCCCCAAACTAAGGAGACTCTCCTAGCCCAGCCTCAGACTGAGATGGGCTGTCCATCCTTTTAGATGTATGTGGGTGGGACATATGATTTTCAGGAAGGAACCTTAACCCTCCAACCAATAAATGATGAAAACATTTCGTTTTTTTTAACTCAACAATGAAGTGTTCTAGATTTATGCCATATGTTTACACCTTGGAATTACTGAAATCCAAAACTTATCAATAGGTCATTAAAATAAATTATTGTGAGAGAGCCAAATGCGAGTTTAGAGTGAAAGGGGAAATGGATAAACAATCAAATATTTCTACAGATTATTTGTCTTTAGTATTCTAAATCTACATAGATAAAAACTAGTGCTCAGAAAGGTAAATAGCAAGCTTGAGGACATATATCAAATCGTTTATTTAATTAGAGATGGAGACAATTAAATAAAAAATATTAAGCAGGCAGTGTTTGAATTGATACTTGATACCAGGTTATGATTTAAACAGATGGACATCAGAGACAAGGATAGGAAAGTCTCAAGATAATAGAAAATAACTCTCCATCTCCTTATACTGGGAGAGAGGATGGTAAAATGACCATTAGGGCCATATATATATGATATATGATATATATATCATATATCTATAATATATATCATCTAAACAGAAATAAATTTCTTGGTTAACATAGTAAAAATAAAGGCACAGGAATTTATCATACATTAAGATAACATATGTGCACATAAGTTTAATATACAGGCATAATTCAAAGATGTTGCTGGTTTGGTTCCAGACAACCATGATAAAGCAAATGTCACAATAAAGCAAGTCACACAAATTTTGGGGGTTCCTACTGCATATAAAAGTTATGCTTACAATATACTGGAGTCTATTATGTGTACAATAGAGTTATGTCTAAAAAATAATATATATCCTTTAATTTAAAAATACTTTATTGCTAAAATATGGTAACAATCATCTGAGGCTTCAGTGAGTTGTAATCTTTTCACTGGTCAAGGATCTTACCTCAATGTTGATGGCTGCTGGCTTATCATTGTGGTGGTTGCTGAAGGTTGGGGTGGCTGTGGCAATTCTTAGAATAAGACAACAATGAAGTTTGCTGCATCGATGGGCTCTTCTTTTTACAAACGATTTCTCTTCAGCATGTGATGCTGTCTGATAGCATTTTATCTACAGAACTTCCTTCAAAATTGTAGTCAATCCTTGCCAAACCTACTGCTGCTTTCTCAGCTATGTTTATGTAATATTCTAAATTTGTTGTCTTCATTTCAATGTTCACAGCATCTTCAGCAGGATTAGGTTCCACCTTAAGAAATCACTTTCATAAAAATAATTATAAGAATAATTAATATCATTTATTATTCATCCATAAAAAACAATTTCTCGTCTATTAAAGTTTTATGAGATTACAGCAATTAAATTGCATCTTCAAGCACCACTTCCAATTCCAGTTTTCTTGCTATCTCCACCACATTTGCAGTTACTTCCTCTACTGAAGTCTTGAATCCCTCAAAGTCGTTCATGAGGATTGGAATCAACTTCTTCCAAACTCCTGTTCATGTCGATATTTTGACCTCCTCCCATAAATCACAAATGTTCTTAATGATATCTAGAATGGTGAATCCTCTCCAGAATATTTTCAACTTACTTTGCTTAGATCCTTCAGAGTATTCACTGTCTATGGTAGCTATAGCCTTAAATGTATTTCTTAAATAATAAGGCTTGACAGCCAAAGTTACTCCTTGATCCAGGGGATGCAGAATGGATGTTGTCTTAGCAGGCAAGAAAACAGAATTAATCTCTGAGTACATCTCTATTAAAGTTCTTGAATGAGCAGGTGCATTGTCAGTGAGCAGTAATATTTTGAAAATAATTTTTTTTCTAAGAATTGGTTCTCAACCGGACACAGTGGCTCACGCCTGTAATCCCAGCACTTTCGGAGGCCGAGACGGGAGGATCACAAGGTCAGGAGATCGAGACCATCCTGGCTAACATGGTGAAACGCTGTCTCTACTAAAAATACAAAAAAATTAGCCAGGCTTAGTGTCAGGTGCCTGTAGTCCCAGCTACTCGGGAGGCTGAGGCTGGAGAATGGCATGAACCCGGGAGGCTGAGCTTGCAGTGAGCCGAGATCGTGCCACTACACTCCAGCCTGGGTGACTGAGCGAGACTCCATTTCCAAAAAAAAAAAAAAAAAAAAAAGAATTTGTTCTCAACAGTGGACTTAAGATATTCAGTAAACCATGCTGTAAACAGATGTGCTGTCATCCCGGCTTTGTTGTTCCCTTCATAGAGCACACGCAGAGTACAATCAGCTTAATTCTTAAAGGATCTAGAATTTTCTGAATGATACATGAGCATTGGCTTCAACTTAAAGTCCCCAGCTGCATTAGCCGCTAACAAGAGAGTCAGCCTGTCCTTTGAAATTTGAGGCCAAGCATTGACTTCTCCTCTCTAGTTATGGAAGTCCAGGATAGCACTTTCCAATAGAAGGCTGTTTTCTCTGCCTAGAAAATCTGTTGTTGAATGCAGCCACCTTCATCAATTATTGTTGGGTTTTCTAGACAACTTGCTGCAGCCTCTACATCAGCACTTGCTGCTTTACCTTGCTCTTTTATGTTATGGAGATGCCTTCTTTCCTTAAACTTCATGAACTAGAACTAGAACTTCTGCTAGCTTCAAACTTTTCTTCTGCAACTTCCTCACCTTTCTCAGCCTCCATAGAATTGAAGAATTCTTGGTTAGGCTTTGGCTTAAAGGAATTTTTTGACTGGTTTTATCTTCTATCCAGACCACTCAAATTTTCTCAATATCAGCAATAATATTGCTTTCTTACCATTCGTGTGTTCACTGGAAAAGAACTTTACTATCCTTCAGGCACTTTTATTTTGCCTTTACAACTTGGCCGTTTGGCCCAAAATGCCTACCTGTCAGTCCATCTCAGCTATTGACATGCCGTCCTCACCAAGCTTAATCATTGTTTATTGAAGTATCGGAAATAATTTTTCACCTTTGGTCAGCTAAGGTGGCTTCGAACAAACAAATTTCAGGGCAATGAGAAAAAATTACAACCTGTTTGACTTAGACTGTTAGCGTCCACTGCTAGATACCAGGTAGCCCTTCTTCCTCCCTCACCACTAAACTCAGGAAATGATGGATGTGAGAATGAACGACACATAAGGGCCAATAGATATGAGATTAATATTGTATTTATTCACGTAGTAAATGACAAGAAGATTCCTCAAGGACAGGGGATCGTGTTCTGTCTAGAAGAATCAAGGGCAGTGGTTGTGTGGATTCAGGTGTTTATTGTGATTCTGGGTTGGGGCAGGGATGGATCTGGGGCTTTGGCAGGGGATTGTGTTGTTTGAAATTTCTGCCGGCACCAAAAAATGGAGGGTGTTCATGGGCTTTCTTATTAAGTTGCCTTGACATGGGGAGAAGAGGAAATAGGCTGTGAGACTGCACACATCGAAAATGGAGTCTTTCTCCTATTACACAAACCCAAGAAAAAAAGGTTAAAAGATATGGTTGCTACTTGCTAAGAAAATAAATAAGAAAGAAAGACATGCTTTATTTTCTCCCTAATTAAAAAAACAAATACACAAAAATAATGTTGAAATGTAGCCTTAAATATACATTGATCAGTTGACAGAAAACACCAATGTTCAGAAAAAAACAGAATGGAATTTAAAATCTATCATTGGAAGCCATGATTAATACTTTTCAGGAGCATGAAGGACTTCTTGATTTGACTGATTCACAACAGCCTCATGCTCAGATACCAACTGCACCATAACTGTGATGCTATAATGGGAAAATGGGATATACTAATCTATCTGGATTCAGAATTTATTGAAAAATGTTGCTATTCTCTTTATTTCCTTGTTCATGATTTTGACTCTCCTTTAGTTATACTTGGATTTTTTGCTCTCACTTTAACCATATCAGACTTTTTTTTTTTTCCAAGTCTTGGCTCTTAAGTTCCCTCAGACTGAAACATTCTTTCTCCCAGTATCTACATGACCTCTCAATTCCTCACTATTTTTCAGGTCTCTGCTATCTAAAATAAACAGTCTAAGCAAATGCCGTGGCTCACGCCTGTAACCCCAACACTTTGGGAGACCTAGGGAGGAGAATCACTCGAGCCCAGGAGTTCGAAATCAGCCTCACCCACATGGTGAAACCCCTTCTCTACAAAAAAATTTAAAAAATTATGCAGTTGTAGTGGCACTGCTTGTAGCCCCAGCTACTTGGGAGGCTGAAGTGGGAGGTCCCATTGAGCCTGGGTGGTCGAGGCTGCAGTGAGCCATAATCGTATCACTGCAGTCCAGCCTGGGCGACAGAACAAGACCCTGTTTCATAAATAAATAAATAAATAAATAAGACAATCTAAATAGTTGGTCTAAAATAGTCACCACTCTGCAATATACTCTCTTCTTTTTGCCCAGTCTACTGACTTACATTTCTATGCATCACTTACTACAACTTGTTGTTATATACTATTTGCTTTTGTTTTCTTTTCTGATCCCCTCACTAACCTGCTGGAATGTGTGTTTCATAGGACAGATACTTTGTTTGCTGCATGCACACAGTAGATGCACAATAAATGTTTATGACCACCTGACTGACTGAATAAATGGTTAGTTAATACTTAAGTCTACATTCCCTACTCTTCACGCCTGCATCCAAGACTGCATGTTTCCCCAGGCAGAGACAGATTCTCTGTATATAATATTCTGCTTTGTGACCCACACAGGCCTCTAAGCATGAAAGAGTTGGATTTTGTGCTTCGGAGAATGCAATGGTAAATGCAGTGTCACATGCTTACCATAAGACTTCATCTATTTTCTGACACACTTGTTACAAAACATTTTCCAAGTATTATTGGTTTTTAAGTGAAAATTGCTGATGTTTTAAACTGGGATATATAATGACTGAAAACAAAGACTAAAGTTTGAATAGCCTGGTTCAAACTTGGGATCCATTAGTTATTGGCTGTGGGGACTTGAGCATATGCTTTAGCCTTTCTAATCTTCATTTGAAAATAGGCATGAAAATGCATATAATACACAGGGCTATTTGGAGTTAGAATGCATGTAAAACTCTTAGCACAAAGTCTGGAACATAGTAAGTGTTCCGTAAATGTCCATCACTGTATTTTAATGAAGTTATTTTATTTATGAAGTCAACTATATTCTAGTAGACCGATGCTTAATGAATTATTACACATCCAGAAATCACATTTTTTCTTAGATGAATTTTTATGTAGATCAAGGCATAATCAAAATAAATTTTTGTCAAAACTTCTTATCAATTGTCCCCATAAAATTTATTGACTAATCAATCCAAACTCACTGACATAAAATTTCCTTTATATTTATTAAATAAAAACATGGTCTTTATCTGAGCTATTCTGCTCTGTTGATCTTTTTCCACCTGTAACACATTAATTAATGTGCTTTTTTTGTTATTTTAAAAAAGCGTTTTAATATTTTCTAAAGCAGTTCTATTCATATATGTCTATTTTCAAAATGTCTCTTTCTTCTTAAATGGAACCAAGGATATTTCTAAAACATGTACAAAGAATAGATTTTGCTTACAATATTATTAACTATATATTAAACATACATCACATTGTTTATATTTCTTATTTAACATGATGAATATTCATTTAGTTAAGACTGCTTTTATACATCAGAATTTCAGTTTTAGTTTGTTGTTGCTGCACTTATATCTTCTAACAGTTATGCCAAAAATATTTTTCTATTTTTCTTTTTCTTTTTTTTTTTGAGATGGAGTCTTGCTCTGTCGCCCAGGCTGGAGTGCAGTGGCACAATCTCAGCTCACTGCAAACTCCGCCTCCTGGGTTCATGCCATTCTCCTGCCTCAGCCTCCCGAGTAGCTGGGACCACAGGCACCTGCCACCACGCCCGGCTAATTGCTTTGTATTTTTAGTTGAGACGGGGTTTCACTGTGTTAGCCAGGATGGTCTCGATCTCCTGACCTCGTGATCCGTCCGCCTTGGCCTCCCAAAGTGCTGGGATTACAGGCGTGAGCCACCGCGCCCTGCCTATTTTTTATTTTGTATCTCTTTATTTATAGCTGTATATTTTTATCTATCTATTTTGGCCATACTATTGTGAATAGATGATTTAATTTTAACTACTTACAGGTTATTATATGTGCATATACATATCTACAACATAGCACATGTATTAGATTTGGTAACTTTATCTTATATATTTTAATATGTTGAATTCAGTCTTTTAATCTATTTAAAGTTTAATTGATTCATGGGAAAAGAAACAAGACAAGGGCAACACATTAACTAATAATGTGCAGGAAAGATCAACCTGCCTTAGAAAAGTTTTGGGAAATTATTTATATCCAAAACAAACTTTCAGTCAGTGATTGATTTTAGTGGTGAAGTGAAAATGCAGTACTTATTAAGTAGATGATCAGATGAGTAGCTGAATCTATTTAAACTTTCAGGATGAATTGTGAACACAAGGTCAAAGTATTATATTTAAATTATTCTAAATAATAACTGTAAAAAATAAACTAATCAAACTAAATCTAGAAAGTTATTTAACTTTTAAGCAGTTCACTTTAAAACACAAGACCATTTGATTAAATCATTCACCATTAAAAATTTTAGATATGGACTAATGCTAAATTTTTTTTAATTCAAATGTGATATACTATTAATATACGTTAGTTTTAGATGCTGTTCTTTTCAAATAACTTACAACATTTCAGTTAACGACCTCTTCAAAATATGCCATATTCAACCTCAATCATGGTCGATATCTGTTCCCTTTTACTGACAGTTTTCCAGAGTTCAAAATAATTCTTTTCTTTTCCTATATATTTTCCAGTGTTATGAGGTACACCTAATTTCCTGCTTACCAGCTCTTGCTCACCATTTTCCAAAACCACTTCCCGAACTTGACTGTTCCTGCTGAAGACCCTTTCATGATACACAGTGTCAATCACTAGTGCTTTCAGATGAAAACATTACAAATAGTCGTAAGCATTAGTGACATTTAGTTATCTTACTTAAGACAAGTCTTGGTGGTATTTTCAGCTTAATTCCTGGTGTTCCTCAGCAGTGCCACCAGGATCTAATTTTTTTCCATTCTTATGCTATATTATCTCCTGCTTGTGCTTCGGGATATCAAGACGACTTTTGTCACTCTGGGTGTCTCAAGAGCATCCCTAGAAGACGTATTCGGAAGGGGTAGAACCAGCAAGCTTTTGTCACCCATTGTATTTTGGGTTTGTTTATAATCAGAAAACAAAAGACTTAACAGAATTCTTAAACTAAGAGCAGACCTTTGTCACATATCCAGTGCCCACGATAGAAGTCAGATTTATAGAATCCTGATTGCTGCCTAATTCATAGACAAATTCAAAGTTCAGTTATCAGAGAAGTGAGAAATGCTTATTGAGGAAGCAGTCATAGTGTCTCTCAACTCTTGTCTCTTTGTCTTGTATTTCTGGGCAGAAATTGTGCAATTCATGAGAAACAGAGCCCTCAAATGTTTACAAGTTCTAATTAAATTTGACAAAGTTGGTTTGCTTTTCTTTTAATTAGCATGAGTTCTGTAAAATGGAGCAAAATACAAAATAAATTCTAGGAAAAACAAACACACATATTTGTTTACAAAAAGTGAAACTATCCATACAAA
Source organism: Homo sapiens (assembly GCF_000001405.40). NCBI lineage: Eukaryota > Metazoa > Chordata > Mammalia > Primates > Hominidae > Homo > Homo sapiens. Next base: position 18,134,133 of record NC_000005.10, read on the forward strand.
GAAGCGGTGTGGAAAGGCTGCCAGTTTAAACAATGTAGCTAATATAATCTAATCTTGCCCCACGAGATATTCAGAAATTCTACTTTTGGTAGACTTATAGAGGAGGTTGTGTAATATCCTCTAAGACAACTGTCATAGATTGGCTTCTTCATAAGCAGGCATTAGATAAGATTTCATGTGAAAGTATTTATTAAGAAACATTTTCAGGAAAACCAGTGGGAGAGTAGGAGAGTAAAACCCGAAATGGAAGGAAGTCAAGGGAGTGATTTCAAGATGAGCCCCACAGAGGGAAGTTTTAGCACAACATCACTGGAGAACTTTGGATGAAAGTCACATATAGAGTTGTCAGAGTCACATATGTGACTTTGGATGAAAGTCACATATCAGAGGAAAACTAGCATTCTTAGCTCACCACACTTCCAGGTTTTGATTAAGAAATGAGCTTGTGGGGAAGGGGCACACATTCCAGTCTGGCTGGCTCTGCTCACCCAGGAAAAATGTGATTTAAGTACAAGCTTCCAGTAAGAAGATGAAGGTGCCAGCTGTTGAAAGTGAAAACACCAAACAGAAAATGTTAAAGGGATCAAAGCAGATATGTGAATGGTACTAATCGATTTGGAGGCCACAGTTGGAGGTCATGGGGTTAGAATTACAGTTGACTCTTGTTTCAACTGCACAGGTCCACTTAGACACAGATGTTTTTCAATAACAATTTCAAAAGTGTGCCTGCACCTCCTGCCTCCCCATCTACCTCCTCCACCTCTTCCAACTCTGCTACCCTTGAGACAGCAAGACCAACCCCTCTTCTTCCTTTTCCTCCTTAGCCCACTCAGTATGAAGGCAATGAGGATGAAGACCTTTATGATGATTGATTTCCACTTACAGAATAGTAAATATAATTTTTCTTCCGCACGATTTTGTTAATGACATTTTATTTTCTCTAGCTTATTTTAAGGTAAGAATACAATATATAATACATATACAAAATATGTGTTAATTGAGTGTTATATTACTGTTATATAGTTAAATAACAATATGTTATATATACTACATAAGTTATGTAACTTTTATAACTGTATATAACTTATATAACTGTTATCAGTTGTATAAGTTATGCTTCCAGTCAACAGTAGATTATTCATTGTTAAGTTTTTGGAGAGTCAGAGTTATACATAGATTTTCAACTGTGCAGAGGTCAGCACCCCTAACATCCACATGGTTTAAAGTCACTTGCACTTGATTACATAATCATTCCATACTATACATTCATTTTACCGTGTATACATGTCTAATATCATTAATTTGCTTAATATATCATATACCACCCTTTAGAGTGTTTATTTATATTTATGTCTGATTCTGCTGCCAGCCTGTAAGATGTCTTTGATTTCAAGGAACATGTCTTAATTATTTGGAATCTCAGTTCTAGGACAATGTACAATCCATAATAAATCTCAGAAAATACTTGTTGAAAGAAGCCATGATTATGAATAAATAAATTAATAAGCCAATGACTGGAAACATAATTGTAGAACATTTATCTGAGATAAGATATACCTTTACACCAATGTTGCCACAACTAGTCTCAAATATGATGATTTTATGACTTATTCAAATAACATTAGTGTCTACTCCATCTAAAAATACTCTTTTGGGTGCAACTATTTTAAATCTATTGGCACAAAAAAATTAACATATTGACATAAAATTTATTTTTTGCTTATAGTGCTTCATAGTAAATTTTCCCATTTTATTTGTATACCATATTAAGTCACCTCCTCACCTTATGGAGTTTTCTTGTGTCTGCACGGTTTTTTACACATTTTTAGATAGCTTAATATTAATTATGATACATATAGCACAAGCTAAAACCATTTCTTCAAATTATTAATCGAGGTTGCAATAAAAAGTTTAATCAGAAGATTTCAGGTGAGACATAAAGGCAGAAATGTAAGAATACAATTCTTCTTTCTTCTCTATTCAATTATCTCCCTTGGATTAAGTAAAAGGAATGAATAACTTTGGCTTCTCTCAGACAGAGGTAGTGAATAAAATCATTAGGCAGTAGTTTAAAAGAACTGTTATTTTAAAAACATTAGATATTCAGAAAGTCTTCCAATTTAGTTTGGTTTTTCTTTTTGTAACAAAAAATTGTTAGTAATTAAGAAGAGTGCTTTAGTTGAACTCAAGCTCTATAGATCTTACAGAAAGAGAACATAGTCACAATTATTTTATACAGCTATTATACCTCAGAGACCAAAAGCTGACAAATACGGCCTTCATTAGTCATCACTTGTGAGCAATTCTGCCTAATACAAGTTCAAAAACTTTGCATAAAGTTTTGCAAGTAAGCTTCATAATTACCAAGAAAACTTATTTTTTGTGTGGTGCAAATTATTTAATATTAAGGAAACTGCTAATGAAATTTATTATAAATATTATAAAATAAAATAATGAAATCATTTTAATAGAAGATTAAAATATATTTTATAAAATTCAATAACAATTTTTAAGTAAAATAAAACATTTCTGACATAAATTTTCAAAATATTGTCATCAGTAAGATAAAATTGATGAAAGAATTTATTAAAGAAATAGGATAATTCCTATTAAAGTAAAACAATCCCAGGGGTCCTAGTGTCACTACTGTTAATTAACTGTGTTCAGACAGTGCTAGCCAATAAATTCACAAACACAACAATCTAACAGGCAGTAGCAAGAATATCATCAATCCTAAAATACATAATTTTCTATCTACAGAACACAGGAAAATGAATTCAAGAATTGTTTTAATGATTATAGATTACAATGAAGTAGTGAGTAAAAATCAAAGATTCCAATCAAAAATCTTCTTTTTAGATTAAGAGCCACATAGATAATAGATTGGAAAAAAACTTATTCACCATATGAATAAAAACGTAACATTGAATAAACTTACGGAGTATGTGAAAAAATATACATACACACAATTTTCTATGCACACACACACACACATTCCCATAATTATTTGGAAACTTTAAAAAAGGATTTGAATACATGGTAAATGGTGACACGTCAGTTCATGTATTGGAAGACTTAATGTTGTAAAGATGTAAATTATAATCAAATTTCTACATGTTTAACACTAGTCTAAGAAACATTTAGTTACAGGCTTTCATGAAAAAAAGATCATATACATGTCATCCTAAAATTAATCTGCCAGCCTGAATGTGTGAGATGAGCCATTAAGTAGTTTGAAAATGAAAGGGAAAAAATAAGGGTAAAGTCACCTAATCTACTTAAAAGTCATGTTTTAAATAATTAATTAAAAACTATTGTGGTGATATGAAAATTTATTAGTCTGTTCTCATGTTGCTAATAAAGACATAGCTGAGGCCAGGTAATTTATAAAGGAAAGAGGTTTAATTGTCTCACAGTTCCACATGGCTGGGGAGACTTCACAATCATGACAGAAGGGAAAAGAGGAGCAAAGTCATGTCTTACATGGCAGCAGGCAAGAGAGCATGTGCAGGGAACTACCTTTTATAGAATCATCAGATATCATGAGACTTATTCATTGTCGGGAGAATAGCACGGGATAGACCCGCCGCCATGATTCAATTACCTCCCACTGTATCGCTCCCACAACACAAAAGAATTATGGGAGCTACAATACAAGATGAGATTTGGGTGGGATACAGCCAAACCATATCATTCCACCCTTGGTCCCTCCCAAATATCATGTCCTCACATTTCAAACCAATCATGCCTTCTCAACAGTCCCCCAAAGTCTTAACTCATTTCAGCATTAACTCAAAGTCCACAGTCCAAAGTCTCATCTGAGACAAGGCAAGTCCCTTCTGCCTATGAGCCTGTAAAATCAAAAGTTACTTCACAGATACAATGGGGATACAGTCATTGGGTAAATATACCAGCTCCAAATGGGAGAAATTGGACAAAATGAAGGAGCTAGAGGCCCTATGCAAATCTAAAATCCAATAGGGCTGTCATTAAACCTTAAAGTTCCAAAATAATCTCCTGTGATTCCATGTCTCATATCCAGGTCATGCTGATGCAACAGGTGGGCTCCCACAGCCTTGGGCATCTCCTCTCCTGTGGCTTTGCAGAGTACAGTCCCCCTCCTGGCTGCCTTCACAGGCTGACGTTGAGTGTCTGCTGCTCTTCCTGGTGCAGAGCACAAGCTGTCAGTGGATCCATTATTCTGGGGTCTGGAACATGGTTGCTCTCTTCTCACAGCTCCACTAGGCAGTGTCCAAGTGAGGACTCTGTGTGAGTGCTCTAACTCCACACCCCTGCAGCAAACTTCTGCCTGGACATCCAGGCATTTCCATACATCCTCTGAAATCTAGGGGAAGGTTCCCAAACCTCAATTCTTGACTCCTGTGCACCTGCAGGCTTGTGGAAGTGGCCAAGGCATTGGGCTTGCACCCTCTGAAGCCAAGGCCCAAGCTATACCTTGGTCCCTTTTAGCCACATTTAGAGCGGCTGGGTTGCAGGGCACCAAGTCCCAGGTTGCATGGAGCAGGGGGGGTGGTGGTCCCAGCTCACAAAACCATTTTTTCCTCCTAGGCCTCCAGTCTTTTGATGAGAGAGACTGCTGGAAAGATCTCTGACATGCCCTGGAGACATTTTTCCCATTGTCTTGGTGACTAATGTTTACCTCCTCATTACTTATGCAAATTTCTGCAGCAGGCTTGAATTTCTCCTCAGAAAATGAGTTTTTCTTGTATATCACATCATCAGCCTGCAAATTTTCTAAACATTTATGCTCTGCTTCCCTTTTAAACATAAGGTTCAATTGCAAACCATATCTTTGTGAATACATAAAACTGAATGCTTTTGACAGCACCTGAATCACATCTTGAACACTTTGCTTCTTAGAAATTTCTTCCACCAGATGCCCTAAATCATCTCTCAAGCACAAAAATCCACAAATCTCTAGGGCAGGGGCAAAATACCACCAGTCTCTTTGCTAAAACACAGCAAGAGTCTCCCTTATTTCAGTTCCAAACAAGGCACTTGCAAAGAAAAAAATATTGACCATCCTATCTATTATTAAATACAGGGTTTCCTGTTATTTTGTCTCAGCTTTGCTTTTGCCCTTCATAGCACTGACTACAGATTGCAATGACTTTATTTATTTGTCTGTTTTCCCTTCTCTCTTCTTTCTATGACAGCTTTTTTCTTTGTTTTCCTTCTTTCACTGTCTCTGTCGCAGTTTCTGCAAACCAGATAATGCATTCTTTTTATTCACTGTGTTTGGAACTAATAGTTCAGTGTCTAGTATACAGTAGGAAATTAATCCTTATTTTTTGAATGAATGGTGGATGGAAGAATAATAGGATGAATATGTGAATAAAGTAAAAATGGAAGGCCATGAAAAGACTGGATAAAAGAGAATAAAGGAGATGAATTGGGGTTTGAGACAAGTCTAGTTATAAGAGAAAATTCAATATGAAATTCTCATTACTGAAAGAATAAAAAAGCCACACTTTTTTCCCCAAGGAAACTAATTAATTTAATGTAGAAATTTGGCAGCTTAAGGAACTCATCAAATTGAAAACAGAATCATGCAACAGTGTCTACTTCAAATCACCTGGATAAGTGGCAGAATAAGATTATGGTAGTAATTTTTGGATTAAAAAAGCTATAATGTAATTCATTGCTTCATTCTTATTGGTAACTATTTCCTCTGAAAATCTAGTATCTTTAAAAGAATAGCCAAAGCTAAAACCAAGTACCTTCCAAAACACAAGCTTTCTATACTTTGTGTTAAATACAATTAAGTAATTATACTGATTTTTACATGTACAAATTTTGTTGAATTTTAAAATTGATTCTTGTAATTTATATTTTTAATATAAGTGATACTATTTTCTGTGAATAATAATTCTTTGATTCTCTAAACCACATTTTAAAGATTTTATTCATTTTTTTTTGTGCTGGCTAGAACTTACACTACAATTTCAATAAAAGGAAGCATCTTTGTCTTTCCATTTTAAAGAAAGTAAATTCATTACTTCACCCTTCACTTCATATTTGATGAAATATTTCTTTAAATTTCTAATTTGCGATATGATTCCTGAGAGTGGTAACATAAGTTATTGTTGGCTATAATTGAAAAGCTTGTGGATTTATTCTTTCATCATGTTTTTTTCTCTTTTTTAAATTAATGTGTTGAATTTACTAAGATGTAAATTTACCTTAAATGTATGAAATAACCCCAACTTCCCCTTCATGCTTAATCTATTTGCTTGGTTTTTAGTAACTTTTTAAACGAGCTTCTAAGTAAAATATTATGAAAATGTCAGCATAAAGCACAAATTCATGTCACACATTATTTATAGAGCCTTTCCTGGATAATTCCAACCACATGTGAAGAACTACTCATCAATGAACTTTTGATGAAATAAAAAGGAATCCTGTGCAATTGTTGTAAAGAATAGAACCATCACAAAGCTAGATTCAGGGAGATGACTTTGAATAAAGACGCTGGAGGTTTTCTTAGCATCCCACTATTTCACAGTCGGTAGTTTCCTTAAAGGCACTGGATCTTGTAAATGCTTAATAATTTCCCAATCTTATAAAATGAAAATGTGAAGTAACCTAATAATAGGCAAGAAATCGTAAAAGAGTTAATTATGCAACTTATAAATAAGAAAATGGGAGCCACTGTGAAAATCCTATTCATTATTCTTTTGTATGTGTTTTTAAAAAGTATGTTAGATCCAATTTTTTTAAAAAGAGGGTAATGCTTTGAATGTGAGCATCAAAGACATGATTACATTTGCTTGGAAATTAACATAAAATTTACATCTTATCTATTTGGAAAGAAAGAAAAAATTATGAGCTTGTAAATACTAGTATTTGTATAATTTTATAAAATAATTGTTCTAAACATTTAATACTTTTTACTATTAAACTGAATTTATTTTTAATTAAAATTAGTTAATATGTTTAGCTCTGAAAATATATCCATTATTTGCAGCATTCTTATTTTTAAATATTTCTACCTTTCTTTAAAATCTGTGTCACTTCAGTTGCCTTAATTTAAATTAAAATATGTACTTGTAAATTTTCCAAATATTATACAATCAACTTCTAACCCCTTGGGTTTTTACCATTCTCCTCCCTACCCCACTGGTCTTATGTTATTTTCTTCAGGATGAATGTATTGCTGGAAAGGCTTTCCTTTAATTACTGACCTTGAACTGTGGAATCCATTAGAGAATGAGAGAAAAGCTTATGTGTCTGAAATGTTGCACAGCTGTCATTTTCTTTAAGATAAATTAATGAGCATTGCTGTTTAGACACCTGGGTTACAGTTCCTGCTCTGTAACCAACTAGCTGAGTGACATTGATCTAAGCCCACATGGGACAACAGTGCCTCATCTCTAACATTAAAGATTTGTACTAAATTATCTCTGAGATCCTTAAATTTTTAATGGTTTTAATTATCAGCTTCATTTTTTAGCTTCCCCTCTTTTGTCTGCCTTGTGACTGTTGACACCTTCTGTTTAAATAGCATACAGAATAATAAATCAAAATCAAATTTGTAAGTTTTGCTGATCAGGGAACTATGGTAAATAACACTGAATGTGAACAATATTTAAATTAATGGATAATAGCCAGTCTTTGTATTATCCGTGGTTACAATGCATCGAAGCTAAGTCTTGCTTGTAATGCCAGATCTTAACTGTAAAATTATTTTACTATATTAGATATATATTAGCTCAGTTTATAAATTAACTTCTGGCCATAAAGACTAAAGTAGCTATACGAGGACTTAGGTGTTTTTCTGTTTGTAATTTAAGTATTTAAGAAAAATATAACTTTTGTCTCACCTCCTCAAATAGGTGTAAGTTTTATGCCTTATATATTCATGTAAACACAACATACATAGTGATTGTACAATTTCTTCTTGTCTCCCTTGGTTAGACAAAAAGCTATAATGGTAGGGACTATATATGACGAATCTGTTTCTTCAATGTCTAGGGCTGTGTCTAGCCCAAACTAGGAACTTCAGAAATATTTATTGAATAGATAAATAAAAATCCACTTCATTAACTCAATGATACTATCTTAATCTTGTTTCAAATATATTTAGTGAAAATATATGTGAATGACAAATTGATCATTTTGTAGTTTGTCATATTTGTGTAAATAATGGCTTTTTACTTATAAAAACTACTGAGTAAGCAGTCGTATTAAGTATTTATTAAATAAATGATATTAATAAAAATTAACAAACCTTTATATAGCCCTTACTAGATACCAGGTACTGTATGTATATAAGCTCCTATAATCTTTTCATAACTTCTATGAGCATAGATATCATTGTTATCCCCATTTTATATATGATGAAAATGAAGCACAGAACAGTTAAGTCACTTACCCAACGTTACAGGTCTGTTAAGTGGTGGAGCCAGAATTTAAATGGAGGCCATTGGGATCTGGACTCCAGTCATTATGCTGCCTCTCATTAAAGTTAAATGATATATAAGTAAAATAAGAAAATAAGATGTCCAGTGATTTCATTAATTACATTGTTTTTTTAGTACTACCAACTGGCAGGCTCTAATGATATGAGTGAGTCTCTGAGAATACGTAAGTGGAAAAACATACTCTCTACTCTTGGGAGGCTAATAGACCAGGAAAACACAGTCAAAGCACATATTACAATGTGTGATTTGCTATAATAGAGGTGTGTGCAAACTCAAATGAGAACAAAGGCCCAGGGCCCTTAAAAGTTACTTAAAAAGTGACAGTGAAGGTTTCACAGTGTCATTGATACTGGAACAGATTCTTAAAGAGAGACTAGGGAATTGCTGGGTGGACGAAAAACATTCCAGAGAGAGCAAACCAACTACATGCAGGCAAAAAACAGCAGCAAAGCTAGAGATAATGGTGGAAGGAAGCCAGGATATTTAATGTCTCTCTGTTCCCTTAACTACCTGTCATAGAGTTGTAAATATTGGAATAATATCAGATTTATAATGTAATAAGATAAAACTCCATGTGGATGAACTGGAAAGAACATAAAAGTAAAGAAAAACTGTTGTAAGATAAAAAAATAGTTAAGAAAATAAGTCATGAATGGCTGAGTTGGGCTGGCTTTAGTAAAGAAAGATAGAAAAAAGATAAGTTTAAGAAATACCAGAAATAAAGTTAATTAAACTTAATGACCAGTGTGATTTGGGGGAGGGGGGTTACAAATAGAAAGGACAGTCAAGATGACTCTGTTGTATTATCTGGATAATTTGTAGAGTCATTAAGCCAGGATAAGAAACACTGAAGGTGGGAGAAGGCATTTAAAGAAAACAAAATAAATACATTAAATTTGAAAACGTTAACAGTGGGATGTCATTAGATATAACTCTTTCCTAAAAGAGATCTTAGCTTGAGAAATAGTTTTAGAAGAAAACCATTTAAAAAAGTAGGAAGAGAACAAGCAGAGCTAATTGAAGACAAGAAAATGAAGGAATTGGCTCAGTGTAACAAACCTTTTGTTCTCAGAAAGCATATTTACATTCTTGAAAATTATTGAGAACTCAAAACATTTTTTGCATATATGGTCCATATAGATCACTATTTACCATATTAGATATTAAAACAGAAATTTTTGTTTATTAAATAATTTTAAAAATAGTAAATCTATTACTTTTAACACAACATTTGAAAATAACTATATTATTTAAAACAAAAAATAAGAATGCCACTGTGATATTACATAATTTGCAAATCTCTTCAGTATCTGGTTTAATAGATGATGGCTAGACTTTTATGTATCTGCATTCGATTTTGTATTAGTCCATTCTCATGCTGATGATAAAGACATACCCGGGACTGGAAAGAAAATAGGTTTAGTGAACTCACAGTTCCATGTGGCTGGGAAGCCCACCATCATGGCAGAAGGTGAAAAGTACTTCTTATATGGTGGCAGCAAGAGAGAATGAGAAAGAAGTGAAAGTGGAAACCATTATAAAACCATCAGATCTCGTGAGACTTATTCACTACCACGAGAACAGTATGGGAGAAACTGACCCCATGATTCAATTATCTCCCACCGGGTCTCTCCCAAAACATGTGGGAATTATGGGGAATACAATTCAAGATGAGATTTGGGTGGGGAAACAGAGCCAAACCATATCAAGTTTATTGCAATATATTGGTTTGTTTGAAGTATATAAATAAAATCCAGCCTTACACTAATATGTAACTAAAAAAGAGAAGAGGATTTTACAGCCTTTTTGAATCATTGTGGATTTTTTTTGATATGACACAAAAACTTCAGGATGGTAACCTTAAAGTTTACCTGAAATGTGTAATATAAAACCACATCAATTAATTTTTCATTACTTTCATTAAATTAAAATTAGTTGGTCTAGCTTATAGTTCAAATATTTACTTATGCATGATTTTGTACCATCATAAATTGGCCATTTTGAAAATATTGGTTTAATGAGATATACCAGTCTTATAATGTTGACACATTTTATTACACAACATCAAAATGTCTTATCAGAGAAGCCTTTTAACCATTGAGAAGCATCAAGCTCACAGTGGTGTGTACATGTTTTCAGAAATCCTAATTTTCACTGGAAAACTTGAATGTTATCCCTGGCAATAAAAACTATCAGCTGTTTTTCTTGAAGTGACAAGATCGTGTCACTAATTTTTGAAAAAATATCTGCTCTGAAAATACCCATGTCTGAAAAACTGTAGCTTGTTTTTCATTTGTTATCTCAGGGAAAATGATATGCTGTGAAGAAAACAGCTAATTCAGTTCACAGCTCATACAACTTTATGGTGGACATATGTCACTCATTTGATTTCTGACATCTTTTTATGGTAAAAAAATCCCCCAGTTATATAAGATTCATTGGGGAGCAAAAAACTCCCTCTCCATACAGTAGCTGGAAATGGTAGACATTTTCTTTTCCACACACTCAATCTCCCTTTCAGCTAGACCAGAGACAATTAACTTATAGTTTTCTAATCAACTGTCCTGTTCCAGATTTTGATTGTGCAGCTAGTAACAGAAAAATCAGGGAGCTTGTTCAGGGACAGTGAACACACTGCTGCTAGTGAAGCTTCAAAGTAGTGTTCCTGGCACAGATGTTAAAGGACTTGAGTGCTGATATAGGTAAATTTGCAAAAAGAAAATTCCAAAAAGAATATCTGGCATTAAAGTTGCTGATGTATAATTTATAGCTTCTAATACCTGGCTATAGCAATTATCTTTTCATCAATGAATTCTGCTCATAGTTTTGGCAAATATTTCTGGAAGCTTAGTATTTGAGCCTGACTTCTAGCTTCCTGAGCAATTCTGTGAGCAATTCTGTTGTCCATCAACAGTGTCCATGTCTGTTGTCCGTAATCAAAATTCTGAGGAATAAAATATCTCATATTGTTGTGAACTTAAATGGGATGAGCTATTCATAGAGCTTGGGAAAATTCCTGATTTATCAATAATAAATAAGTACACATTGGATAATTAAACTCAAAGATGAGTGTCTGTTCCTTTGCTTCCCTGTATTCTTTCCAATTATATCTCCCTGCTTATATCAAAGCAAATAGTGAAGTAGGTATAGACTAATGAATATTTATTTTGTTTGTATTCAGTGGCTATAATACAAATTATTTCAAATAGCAGGCATCCATATAGTATTGCATTAGGACTTTATAACTTAAACTATCTGGAACAGTAAAATATTACGTAAAAAACGTGAAAATAGTTGATGATTCAAAAGCAAGATGAATTAGTTCATTCTCATGCGCTAATAAAGACATACCAAGACTGGGTAATTTATAAAGAAAAGAGGCTTAACTGACTCACAGTTCTACAGGGGTGGGGAGGCCGCAGGAAACCTATAATCATGACAGAAGGGAAAGCAAACATGTCCTTCTGCACATGACGGCATGAAGGAGAAGAATGAGTGATGTGGGGAAAAGTCCCTTATAAAACCATCAGATATTGTGAAACCTCACTCATCATCACAAGAAGAGCATGGCGGTAACAGCCTCCATAATTACCTTCCACTGGTCCCTCCCATGACACATGGGGACTATGGGAACTACAATTCAAGATGAGAATTCGGTAGGGACACACTATATCCCAAGAAAATAATTAGTTCATTGGCATGAAAGATAAATTCTCTCTCTTTTTTTGGATAATGGATATAAGTAGAAATTCATCCACTGATACTATAAAAACAAAAAGTATAGAATATATGTTAGAAGAAGAAAGAAGAGGAAAAATGGAAACATGAAAATAATGATGAAGTAGGGAAGAAATGCAAGAGCCTGCCAAATGCAGAAATGCCTCCTTCTCTGGTTTTAGTCCACCAGTCTACATTTGAATTCTCCCTGCATGCCAACCCTTTGCCAATGGGTGTGTCTAGTTTCCCATATATAGGTGGTCCTTAAATTTTATGCCTTTAGCCTTCAAGCAACCTAAACACTAGGATACACATTGACACCCACATTGTTTTTAACATGCCTTATTGAGACTATTTTGACCAATCATCTGGTGACCTGCTCCAAGAGCCAACAGTTTCATACAAAAGTTCTGCCATGTTAGAACAGCCATGTTTCTGTAATCCCACATTTTGGTATTTCATCACAGACAATTCCTTGCTATTTTCCCTGTAGCCTGTAGTTTTTCCAAAGTTCCTGAAAAGCACCCAGGGGAATAAGGAGAAAAGATGGTGGAGATTACAACTATATCTTCACTCTCCAGATAATGTTTGCCTTGAAGAATATTTTCTTCCAGAAAAATAAAGAATTTTTAATCAAAATTTTTAAAATTATTTTACAAAAAGGAGAAATAAAACAAAAATGCTGAGAGATAATATGAATATGACTCACAAAATGATATCAACTGAGAAAATTTGTAAAACATTAAACATGCCAAAAAAAGGGGATTTTATCCTCTGAGATGATAGATAAATTTAAATTAGTTAACAGGTTTCAATTGCTGAGGAAATGTATCAAACTAAATAATGAGTTCAAATCACTGGAAATATTTTGACAATGTCTGAGTGTAAAATTCAGGTGTGATTAGAATCTCAATGGTATTTTTATTTCTTTGAGCATGAAAATTGTTTCTCTGACATGTAAGTCTTACTGGACTTTGAAATTAATTCATGTTTTTAGAAATGAACCACGTAAGAAAATAGGACACATGCTGTGCTGCTTTCTCTATCAAAAGTGTACACCACTTTCTACACAACATGGTCTCCTTTACTGAGATACTGGAGCTGTGAAGAAGGACATGTAAATTTTTATGTTCCATTTATAACCTTTTTTTTTTCTCTTTTAGACAGAGTTTCACTGTGTTGCCCAGGCTGGAGTGCAGTGGCATCATCATAGCTTACTGTATCTTGACCTCCTGGACTCAAGTGATCCTCCCACTTCAGCCTCCTGAGTAGCTGGGACTACAGGTGCCTGCCACAACACCTGTCTAATTTTTTTTTTATTTTTATTTTTTGTACAGACGATGTTTTCCTATGTTGCCCAGACTGGTTTTGAACTTCTGGGGTTAAGCAATTCTCCCACCTTCGCCTCTCAAAATACTGGAATGATAGGCCCCATCATCTGGCCCTCATTTAGAATTTAACAAATACTTAGTTGATAGATGTTATTCAATAAATGTTTTAAAACTGACATAAATTGTAACATAACATACCTTACATAGTATATAATTTAATAATCAAGTTGTCTCCAAAGAGGCATTAAACCAAATACTTGAATGGGTTAGGTCATGGCAGGTAGGACCTATGGCGGCTGGTACAGAAGCTAGGGTTAAAGTGTACATTTTGGAAGCAAGATGTTTGGGGACTACAGAATATGATTTCAGAGAGGACTGAGTACAAATGCTCCTGGTTATCTTATAAACTTTAAACTATTTAAGTGAAATTTCCAAGCCTCAATTTCTCTCATTGAAAAATGGGAATAATGAGAGTATCTACAACAGAGATTGGAAATTCTTTCTTCTCAAGTCAACTTATTTCAAATTTAGATATTTGTGCTCCTAAATTATTTCCATAATTTAATATTTTATAATCTAATTGAATACATTGGTAACAATTTAAATGTAATACATAAATCTGAAAACAAAATGGCAGAGGATGATATCAAATAAAAAGTACAAGTCTTCTTTCCTTTCCTGTGCACAGACCCAGCCCTGATCCCAATTTTCAGGGGGTTTCTATTTTACACATTTCTGTCATATTCTTTTCCAGTGCTTCCCTTCCAAACCATAGATACAATGCTTATATCTCTAGTCATGATTTATCAGCTTCAACAATATATGTTGCCTCCACCTATGAAATATGAGGATTCCGGTTCGCATAAACTGACTTTTGCCATATCCTTCACTCTCTGCTAGTTATATTTTTACTTTTAGTTTCTCTCTTGCTTAAATTTGTTGATCTACTTGATGTGTTTAATCTTCTGGTCCTTCTACTCATCATTAGACTTTGTGTCATGATTTGCCCTTATTTTAGATGAATTACGTCTGTATCACCTCCCCTTTCTCATTTTTCCAACTTATATCTTCCATAGAGCTGTTATGTTTCTATTGTCAAGCTTAAAAACATTCTGTTCGACAACTATTATCTTTTGTGGTTGTTGATTTACTGAATTAATTTATAAGCTAAGTATGGGAGATAGACAAATATTGGGTACTTCTCACTATATAGGACTTTTTATAATGTTTTTGTGTCTCATTAGATAATGAGCTTCAGAGATCAGAAATAATTCACATATATTTTAATTACCATCCCTATTATTTGGCACAGTAACTAGTTTATACAAAGCACTGAGACAAAATACTAGGATGGTAGTCAGTATCCATGTGGTCAAGCAGTACAATGTAAGGTCCTAACATGTGATGCTTTGGGACTTTAACCCTGGATGCACTAGCAAAAACAAACCTAGGACTACAGTTAAAAATACTGTGTTATATATTTAAATTTGCTTAGAGGGTAAATATTAATTGTACTCTCCACTCTCCATCCAACCAACCAACCACACACACACACACACACACACACACACGTAACTACTTGAGGTTGTCGATATGTTAACTGGTTTGATTGTGCTGATCATTTCACAGTCTGTATGATTATCCAAATGTCAAATGGTGCACTTTAAATATATACAATTTTTGGTCAATTATAACCCAGTAAAGCTGAAAAAAGAATATACAGAAAACAAAAAAAAAAGCAGAAAACTAGTCTTTAGGGAGCCAGGTTATTTAGCAGTATAATAAGTCAGAGACATGTTAACTGCTAATAAGGCAGCATTGACTGCCTGGTATTGATGTAGTTCCTGGTATTGGTTCAAAAAGGAGGAATTTGTTTTCAAGGCAAGGTAGTATGAGATGCCAGATCAAACTGAATTTCTCAATGTGATTTTATCACAGAACTGTTTTTTTGTTCTTGAAACAATAAAAATAATTCCAAATTAAAAGAGTGATATCGTGTAAGGTTCAGACATTTGGTGATGAAATCTAAGAACTGAGTGTAAGATAAAACGTCATATTAAAAGCACATTGAAATGTTACCAGTGTTCACCTCTAAGTGGTAAGATTATTTCTTCTTTATAAATGTATTTTTCCAGTCATAAGATAAAGCAGTAAATGATTGGAAGGGAAGCGAGTGGGAAGGAGCACGGCAGCACAGACACCTCCATGAAGATGTCTGTTCCAGCCCCAGCACAGGAATGCTGGCAGGCAGAGCCAAGGCAAACCCTTTCCTTGGGAGCAAGTGAATTCCCTCAACATTCGTCAGAGTCAAAGATATGAGTCAAATTCTTAGGATCCCAATGAACCACTTTGGAAAACAAAACCTGTTTGTCTATGTAATGTAAAAATATATTTTATATTCACTGTCGGAAGCCTTCTCCTTTTGGGGCTTCTCAACCCTCCTATGGCTAAGTGAGATGCTATCTCACATACAACAATTTTTTTTAAAAAAATGAAAGAACGCTGTGAATTTCTATTGCCAGGATATGGAAATCACACACACACACACACACACACACACACACACCACTCAGTGGCAGAGAGGAGAGTGGACAGCTTGGAGGATCAGAACAGCTTGTATGGGGGTGGCCTTATATTTCAAGTCAAGGCTGCTCAAGTGGTGAAGATGACAAATGGGGAAAACAGATTGGGAAATGTAAGCTCAAGGGGAAAGAATTTTTCACAAAGGGAATAAAATCAACTACCTAGCTTATGGTTTCCAGCTTGGAAAGAACATTAAAGATGAACTGTTCCAATATTTTCATTTTAAAAATTAGAATAAAAGATCAGACTAAATGACCACTTCAAGATCTCACGGAAGAGAAAAGGAGAAAGCTCAGATCTAGCAATGAGGGTCTTTTCTCTACCAAGTCATTACATCCTACCAAGTTTAAATACAAGGCAAACACTAGCTCTGTTGGAAAGTGATATTTATTCAGTTTAGTGGGTGGGATTAGGAGGAAGAAGGATTTTTCCATTTAGCAGTAAAGAACCCAATGTTTAAATGCCCAGATTATTGCCAGAAATGATACAATTTGAAGCAATTATGACATCTTTTTTTTTATTTGTACTTTGTCTATCCTAATGCCAACCAACCATGATGTACTGTTGCTTTCTTATAAAGTAAACATTTTAATATCAAGTATATGTTGTCTTACAGGCATCACAGAGATTTTGAAACAGAACTTAGGAATCTTCTGAGTGAGCAAAGATAAAATGACACTCTCAGTGGCATAGCTACTGTAATGCTCTGCCTTACCAGCCACTGTGGCTTCCAGTTGATACCTCATTGGGAATTGCTCACTGTTGCGGGGAATTACCTCCCAGGCCTGGCTGATATGGGGATATAAAGGCCTAGCCATCAGGTCTTGAAAGACCACCCAGCTCCATAAGTTGCTCCAGGATCAACTGAGACTTAATTTGCCAGTGCATTGCAAACCAGCTTCTTTCTTTGCCCATTTTGATTTCCCTATTTCCTGAGATGTATATCTCTTGAGAGCACTTCCCAATAAAATCTGTGAATTCAATAACCTTCTCAGCGTCCGTTTGCTGTGAAGCCCTTCTAAGGCAGTAGTAGATACTAGAAATGTTTCTGACCAGCAGACCATAAAACTGGATTTGATTGCTATAACAGTCACTACTCAAACAGCAATGAGTAAACCGCCACTAATAATAGATGAACTCTAAATGTTGTTACGATGCAATTGCTAAGTAGTTAAAACTTTCACCAGTAGTGATGGGATGCTGGTGGAGTGCGGGGAATACATTAGCTGATATGAAATCTCTGGCACTGGAGAGCTGGGAGGAAAAAGAATATGAAATAAGGTAGCTGTTGCTGCATGTCTTTGATTCCTTGACAAGAGATGTGACAGGCAGGATTTTATCTCTGGTCCTAATTCTAAGAACCCATGAATACGAAGGGATATCACCTCCTGGTTAGGTGGTTATATGGCACAGCTGCCCCTATCATAGGGTGATTATCTGGATGGTGCTGATCTAATCAGATGAGCCCTTAAAAGCAGCTGATGACAGAAAAAGAAGTCAGGGAGATTTAAAATTTGGGAAGAACTTGCTATTCTCTTGCTGGATTTGAAGGTAGACAGGGCCATGTCAGAAGCAACACAGATGGCCTTATGAAGCTAAAATATGCCACTAAGGAAAGAAAAACCCCAGTCCTACCATAGCACGGACCTGAATTTGAATGACTTTGGAAGAGATTTATTCCCCCGGAGCCTCCAGGTAAGAGCCAAGTTGACATAGCCATTCTAGCATTGTGAGAACCTATGCAGAGAACCCAGTTGAGCCCACCCAGAAGTCTGACCTGCAGAGCTGTGATAAATAGATATGGTTTTAAGATGCTAAATTTGTGATAATTTGTTACAGCAGTGATAAAAAACTAATACAATAGATAACAGGCTTAGGGGGATTAATCACCAGTTTAGGCTAATGTTTCAGCTTTTTCTGTAGTTTTGATAATCAGTAACTTAGGCACACAAACTCACAGAATCTTTTGTGTCTATTACTCACACACTTTTTTTCTAATGAAATTATCAATAATTATTTTTAAAGAAAATTTCCATACATTTTAAATCTTCTGCCGGGCGCGGTGGCTCACACCTGTAATCCCAGCACTTTGGGAGGCTGAGGCGGGCAGATCACCCGAGATTGGGAGTTCGAGACCAGCCTGACCAACATGGAGAAACCCCGTCTCTATTAAAAATACAAAATTATCCAGTCATGGTGGCACATGCCTGTAATCCCAGCTACTAGGGAGGCTGAGGCAGGAGAATTGCTTGAACCTGAGAGGCGGAGGTTGTGGTGAGCTAAGATCGTGCCATTGCACTCCAGCCTGGGCAACAAGAGCAAAACTCCATCCCCCCTCCCCCCCGCAAAAAAATCTTCTATTGCTCTTCTCCCCCGTACACTTTTTCCAGCTAGATCAGACCAATAAAGATACTATAAATTGGACCTAGATCAAATCCTCTTGTCTTGAATCAAGATTTTAGATTTTTGGATCAACCCCCTTTCCTCCATCTCTCTCTTTTTTTTCTGGAATGTGCTATTTGCTTCTTGGTAGCTATGACAATGCAAAATTGGAACGTTGCTCCCTAGAGATGCCGGATGTGTGTTCAACTGCTTCCATAAACTTGACACAACTGAGCTCATTCCTACAATAATACAATCCCACTTTTAAATTATTATTCAGGCAAATGGTGAGCATCAGGAATGTATTCTAATGAGAGGTGTCCAAGGTCTGTTTGGAGCAGCTAGCTCCTTAAGTGTTCCAGAGACAGATGTCTGAAGATCATTTCCAAACCCTGTAACATAGCCTGCATCTTAATGACACATTTGAATGAAGAAACATATGTAAATTCTGCATCAGTTAAAGGAATATGACTCAAAATGAAAGTGAATAAATGGTCTAACACAGCAAAAAGGATTCAGCTCTCATGATGAACTCTGCTAAACATTATATATGGGAGATACTCTGTTTTGCTTTTTGTGGAAGATGCTTTTGGTATTCAAGAGTTCAGGATATTTTTAAGTACTTTTACATTAATTTTACCAATAAGAAATTTCTAGCACTTCTGTGATTTTTTTTCTTTCGCTAATTGATTCCACACATTTTAAAAAATGCTTTGTGAACTGTGTTTTAGGATTTTTATTTCCTCCTATTCAAGTCAATTGATTTCCTTTACTGTGACAGCATTGTTCCTGCCCTAAGTAGTGTACAAGGCCCAGCTTTGTAAGAGCAGTATTTTTTGACAAGTTAAAAGTAAGTGTTCAGAATGAAATGCAAAAACATTGCTTCTAATCAAATGTAAATTGTTATTGGAATGCCAGAAGTCACTTTCTAGCAATATGAGGGAATTCCACCTAAGGTTATTAAAAGAAAATGTACCATGATATTTTTTTAACTGTTTGATTTATAATAAAAAACTACATAGATTAATTGGTACATTTTCAACTCTTTGACAGGATACAAATGCTGCTTTTTGAGTAAATGTAAAGTTTTATTTCCATCACCAAATTCTTGCGGGCATAAAACTTAACTGTTCTGCCTCAATAGAACATATGTTTTTTAATCAGTATCTTTATAACATGATATGTTATTATAAACAGTTGGTCAATAAACATTTTCTGTTTTTGACCTTCTATATTTCAACAGTGATTTTTCAAAAATAAAATTTAACAAGGTTCAGTTTGTAATGAAAGAGTTAAGTTTAAAAATATCTATCTTTTCAATATTTTAATATTTTCCACCATATGGATTAACTCTGAGCTTATTTCTGATAAAAGAAAATATCATATTTAATCACTGTAGGTTTTTTTCACATTGAAATTTATGCCACTGTGACAATTTTAGTTTCATTTAGGCACAAATACTGTTACAAATTATGATTTAAATTATGTTTAATCAACAATAGAAATGCCAGTTATACAGAAAAGCATCAAGTAAAAATCAACTAACTTTTACTTTCTCCACATAAGCTTATAAAATAATAAATGTATCATTTTGAAAAATTTTACTCTGAGAAAATTTTCTTATTTTTCTGTCATTTAAAAATGATGAAGTGTAATTGCCCAATATGTCCTTCCTGCCTCCTGCACAAGCAAAATCAATTCACTGAGACCGTGGCATTGCAGTAAAGAAAGAATTTAATTGACATGAGACTGACCATGCAGAAGATGAAGTCACTACTCAAATCAGTCTCACTGAAGGCTCAGAGGTTAGGATTTTTCAAGCATAGTTTGGTTGGCAGGAGACTAGGGAATAGATGCTGCTGATTGGTCAGAGATGCCGTCACAGGTCTTTGGAAAACAGTCCTCCTTCAGTGAGTCTGCCTCTGGGTAGGGGCCACTGGACATATTGAGACCTGCATCAAGAGACCAGGTGAAGTCAGCTGATCATCAGAAATGTGAAAGTCTGAAAAGACTGCTGAAAAGGCCAGTCTTAGGTTCTACAATAGTGATGTTATCTACAGGAGTAATTGGGGAAGTTACAAATCTTGTGACCTCTTAAACAATGGCTGGTTATCATTGAACTATGCTTATATTTCAGCAGAATTTAGGATACTCTCATAGTCCTAACCTTGTGGATTTTCATTATTCTTGTAAAGGCAATTTAGTTTTGGAAAGGGCTATTATCATCCTTGCTTTAAGGTTAAACTATAAACTAAATTTCTCCCAAAGTTAGCTTGGCCTATACCCAGGAATGATGAGACATTTTGGAGGTTAGAAGCAAAATGGAATCAACTCTGTCAGATTTCTCTTACTATCATAATTTTGCAAAGGTGGTTCTAAAAGGGCAATAGATTACCATATAAATACAATTTTTCAATTTTTTGGTAACCTCAACTTAAATCAATGAATATATAGAATCAATCATTTTCATTCATATTTACTCTAGTGATCTGTTAATTTTCATATACCTCTGTGATAGGTAGGATTATAAGAGGGTCCCTCAGGTTCCCACTCCTTGGTAAACCTACATGCCCTGCATGAAACCCTCCTCTCCAGTTGAGTGGAACATGTACTCTACAGATGATGGAAATCGCTATCATTTGGATAACATAATATGGTAAAGGTGAAGGCATTTTTGAAGATGTAATTAAGGTCACCAATCTGATTTTGAGTGAATCAAGGAGAAGGTTATTCTGGGTCTAGGTATCTGAGATACCCATCTTCTGCTGGCCTTAAAGGAGCCATTCACCATGAGTGCTATAGCTGCAAAGGAGTGAATTCTGCTAACAACCACATGAGCTTGGGAGAGAATCCCGAGCTTCAGATGAGATCACAGCCTCAGACTACATCTCAATTGCAGTCATGTGAGACTCTGTACAGAGGACACAGCTAAGCTGCATCTGCACACCTGACACAAAAATAGTGAGATAATAAGTTGGTGTTGTTTTAACCTGGTATACTCTTGGTAAGTTTTTATGCAGCAACAGAAAATGAATACACTCTCTACTCATCATCTTCTTTTGGGTAACAGTTTCCCACTTTCCAATATGGAAACCATTTGAAATAATTAGGTTGGAGCTGACCTTAAATTGACCCTTATTGGTATACCCCATTATTCTGAATACAGTGATAAGTTCAGAGATAGACAAATGAAACAAGATTGATCAGTAACCTTTTAGACTTTTTCTGTCTGCGTTGGTAAGGAAGAGTTTCTCTTCCCATCTCATCTGGTATGATGTGATTGTTGGCTGTCAATGAACAACTTGTCTACCGTATTTGTAGAGCCTTTGATATATACTGTTATTTGGCTAATTACACACCCATTTCCAAGCCCCCTCTTTCCTTAAAGAGACTGAAAAGCCAAACCTTGCATAATGTTTCTTATCATTATGTAAAGCTATCTGACATGCTTCTAGACAACTACATGTTAACATAATTGCTAGGGGGTTCTGAGAAAGCTTTTACATTCTTGTTGAACAGAACTCATGTCACTAAGCGTTTCTGTCCTCCCGTTTTGTTTTCCTCGTATACAGGTATAATAACTGGAGCTTGGCTCCCACCTTGATTTTATATGGGAAGGACCAAAAGCATAAAAACACTAGTGGCCTTGACATTTTTTGGCTTTTGAATTAATGTCATTGGCCTCTTACTTTTAACCATCATGTTGTCACATGAGATGTAATTTGTTGTCTTTAGTGATTAAACCACTGTAGAGTAAATATGCTTATACTTGCAGCTGAAAGTCTTTATACATGATTGAAGGACTATATGAAATATATCTAGAGAAAGAGTTCTCTTGATATCACGAAAATTCTGGTATCAAACTACACATAAAATCAGTTTTACCTCTGGCCTTTTCAGTTTCATGAGTCTCCCTCCCCTAATTTCTATTTTGCTTAACTTATTCTGAATTAGGCTGTATCCATTCAATTGTGAGTAAAAACTCCCAGTGAACATAGAAGTTGATAGGTTGACAGTATTTTTTTCTATAGGATGGAAGGTAGTTGGACAACAGAAGGGGCATGCATTAACAATGACAACTAAAATGTATGGAATATTTCTGAGTTAAGAATTAATGTAGAGAATGAATAAATATCCGATTCCCCACTATGAAATTGATTTAAATAAATCCCAATTCAGACCATGTTAAGGCTAGACTTTTAAAAGACAACATTTTTAAGAACTTAAGATTTTGTAATTTTTACCTACCTCTTTCTGTTAATTAGTTCCTGCAATAGAAGGACATGCTTCAATGTAGGGAGCTAACTCCTGAAATAAACGGACATAATTCAAGGAAGACACCAAAGTAAACCAGTTAAACATGGCTATTTGATGCTTAAGATTCAGGAACAATAAGAGATTTTTTGTTTTTGTTTTTGTTTTTTACAATTATTTCAGTTTTAGAATGAAGAGCAAGTAAGCTGATGATATTAACACCATTAAAAAAATACACACATACATCTCAGAATTTGGGAAACAATGTAAATTTAGGGATACCTTTGTACTCTCATAGCTGAATGATTTATATAATTTGATGTTAACCTAAAATAATAATCTACATATTGATGCTTGCTTATTACATACTTGTTAAAATGTTTTCAAAAGCACATTTAATAACTATGAAAAGGATCTTTAATAAATATAAAAAAGTAGAAATGATTAAACTCATTAGGGTAGAGAAATTTTATCAGCTTTTGTTTGAGTGCCAAAAAATTGAAAAAGTGATTTCCGTACAAATGAAGCAAAGGAAACAAATTAAAAAATATGTTCACTTCTCTAATAGCTGAACAGACAGACCAACACCATATTGCCTGGATTTCATCAGGCCCCATTCTTAAAAAGCCAAACTCATCATTGGAGTCATATTTTCCTAGGCCTGAGAGCCTCATACTAGCTCATATGAAAGCCAAGGTGGCCATTTTGCCTCCCATCCACATTCCAGGAAGCCTGAGATGGACATAGTGGTGCACTCAGCAGGATGGGAGAAGTCACATTCTCTGCCCTATACTAAAGACTGAGAAGGGGGCTAAATCCAACTGGCCACCTATTTTTGGAGTAAAGTTACATTGTTTTAGTGGAACATATCCACACCCATTCTTTACACATTATCTGTGGCTGCTTTGGTGCTTTCATGCTAGAATTGAGTTGTGACAGAGACCATATGGCCCTCAGAGCCTAAAATATTTACTCTCTGGGCCGGGTGCGGTGGCTCATGCCTGTAATTCTAGCACTTTGGGAGGCCAAGGCGGGCGGATCACAGGTCAGGAGATCGAGACCATCCTGGCTAACACGGTGAAACCCTGTCTCTACTAAAAATACAAAAAATTAGCCGGCGTGGTGGCGGGCACCTGTAATCCCAGCTACTCAGGAGACTGAGACAGGAGAATGGCGTGAACCCGGGAGGCGGAGCTTGCAGTGAGCCGAGATCGCGCCACTGCACTCCAGCTTGGGTGACAGAGCGAGACTCTGTCTCAAAGCAAACAAACAAACAAAACATATTTACTCTCTGGCCCTTTAAAAATCATCTGTCAACACTAAATTGCACTCCTTACCAAAACAGAGCAAAGTGCCCACTTTGTTAGGGATCAAGAGCCTAAAATCAGGAGCAGAGTACTCTGCCCCATTGCAAGGGCTCCTCAGAGGAAGAATCCAAGAAGTAAGCAGATAAGCCAAGCATTAGGAGGAAGGATGCTGTGAAGAGAAAAAAAACTTAAGGCTGGAGTCCAAATTCAGGAAGCATGAATTGTAAATTATCTTTTTTATCTTCCTTACTAAAACATGAAGCCTAAAGTATGTAAAGTGATTCTCAACCCATTCAGAATTTTATTGCCAAAGGAGGAAAAAGAAACCCACAAATGTGAGAAAGAGTAGCTAGTGATAGTTCAATCCCCAGTGCGATTCTTACTCCTTCAAGCGACCTCAAAGTTAGTGGGTTGTTTTATTGGTACATAGCCCAAGAAGAAAATCCTTGCCCAAGTCATGCTAAAATGTGAAAATGGAGGTCAATTAAAAAAATGGAATTTCTCCCCCAAGTTTTTCACCCTCCTCTCCCAAATCTTGCCCGTGGCAGTGAGGTGGGCTCTTATTCCACTGATAAATATGTATAGACCAATGGACACAGAGAAAAATTTCCCTTTCTGGTTTTGTATAAATGTGTTTTCAAGTTATTCTATTTGTTATTACTATTTAATTTCAAAAAAATTAGGAGCGTTCATGATTTGGGACCATAAGCAGCCATGCTTTGCTACAATTTTCAAACCTATTTAAAAGCTATTTGTTTATAATTAGGGAGGATGTCTGTTAACTAGATTTTTGTTTGGGAGATATGCTTACATAAACTTTTGTGATCTTTTATGCATCTTTTCAGCAAATATTTACTGTGGACCTATTGTGTGCCAGGCTTTGTCCTAGGTGCTTGAGGTATCAGTGAACAAAATAAAAATCTTTCTGAACAGAGCTAACTTATATTCTATTTGTATAGACCGTAGACAACAAACAATAAATAAGTAAAACTTATACTATGTTAGAAATTGAAAACTATTGAAAAGAAATTGGAAAGATAACATGATAAGGGAGATTGGAATGCCCAAGGTGGAGTGCACTTTTGCAGTGCATGGTTGTTATAGACCCCAATGAGCCAGGTATCACTTGAGCAAATACTTGAAGGACTTACATGAAAGCAGGAATGTATAACTCAGTGCCACTGCTGTAGCCACTTCTTAGTGAAAATCCTACTGATAGGATTTTAGCATTTCCGTTTTTTAATCTGAGGAGCTTCATAGTACTCTCTCTCTTTAGGTTGTCTGAAATGTTGCTATTGTATTTCTAATGGCATTTTAAAGGAACAGCTCTGAGAGTAAAGTGAAACACAAAAAGGGAAGAAGTCAAAATTAGTGCTTCCACATATTTTTGGAGGGAAGATTGCATAAGATGTTATGTTGAAAATTAGAGAAACAGTTTTACACTGTTGATATAAAGTATATTAGGTTTTCCATTATTGAAAAAAATATTTATTTTGTTACTCCAAAGTGTAATCATAATGTAGAAAACTGATCTTAAGAACTGCCCCACAGTATCCTCATTAATACAAAGAGAGATTAGAATCCACGAGTCCAGTTTTTCTTAGACTTTTAAAAGTTAATGCTAGATAAGTATTTAAGTACCTATATACCAGACTTGAATAAGTTCAACAACTCATTGCAGTTGATTTTAAACTTTTAATTATGTAATAGGGTTATCATGAATAGGACCCTTTTCCTAATATTCTGGCCCTAAGGGAGTGGTACTTCTTATCTGATAATTGATGTATTTAACAAAAAATATCTGTTCGACACTATGGTTACTCAATGTTGATATGCAGTTTTTTTTCATAATTTTGAAGCCATATTTTAGTTGTTGACTGATCACATCACATGCTGAAGCCATTAACATGGTATTCCTCCTGTAACATTCTGTAAGACCACACTGATAGGAGCACTGCCCTTAGCATCCAACATCCAGGAAAAGAGAGAATAGTGTGAATCGTATTTTCCAGCTCTTAAGATAAAGTTACACATACTCATCTTTTAGATCTATTTATTGCCACCTTCTATGCTATGAATCTTTAAGTAAAATAATTATACTTTGGTTTTTAGTAATTAAATCTTAAGGAATAGAATTGCTCCTTTTAAATTTATTTTTAATGACTCAAATCATCTGCTTTTAATGAAAAAGTTGAAAGCTGCTATTTCAAAAAGAAAGGTTGTGTTGAGTTTTATTGTTATTATTTGATATGAAATTTATTAAATTTACAAATTCAAAGACAATTCTTTATTAAAAATCAAATATTAAGTTTACAAATTTTATTCCATTTATAGACAAATGTTGTTCTAAGTCACTGTGATAATAAGTGTTATGGTATGCAGCAATGTATGTGTAGTACAACACAATGCACAGAATTGTAAGCACATATACCTAACAAATTTTTGGATATTGCATCCCATTGAAGTGTTTCATACTTTTAGATAATAATTTTAATCATTTCTTTGATATTTATTTAAATACCACCTGCTCATTAAGCCAGACATATTGAACCTACATCATTCCATCCCTTTATTAAAACAATATTTATTGGGTGCCTACTATATTTCATGCACTCTATGTGTTGAAGATATCATTAAAAGGAATTGCCTGCCCAGATTGTTTACCACCTGGTAACTGATCTAATACAATTAGTATATTTTTGATAATATTAATAATTATTCAATCATTGTAGGTAGCTTATAGCTCTAATCTACTATGGATAGAATAATGAGACCCAGGAAACATATGTTTTTCTCATCATTAAATTGATAAAAATCCTATTTATGGAAAATGAAAATAAAAGGATAGATGTAATAATGGTAAGCTTGTTGAATAAAAAAATGGCCATTATTTTGGGGAAAAAAAAACATATGACTGCTATTGTTCAGATTTGACAGACAGAAAATTCTGGAAAATTTTGTAAAATTTTATTTCTTTTACCTCCCAGCTGCTGTGCAAGCCAGCTAATTCTGTCCATTTGCATACCTCCTCCCACATTAGCACCTCTATCTATGGGAAGAAACACATAGCACTGTTCCTACAACTAATTCCTTCCCTTAAGAATTATTTTACATATTTAGAATACATTTTTCTGGTAACTTGGATCCTAAGGATATCAATAAAATCAGTCCACCCAAAATCTTTTTTTAGTGTCTATAATTACACTGCCTTGAATTTACTCTGCCATATGGTTTCAAGAGTGCTAGATAGGGCCCCAAGGCTAAGAACATATTTTCCCACCTGCTAGATCACACATAAAATTATTGAAGTAGAAATCCAAAGAGTCTATTTTGCAAGTAGAAATTAAGCTGAAAGTGCAGAGCCAGTTGCTGATCTTTTCAAAGAAACAACTTTTGGTTTTGTTTATTTTCTCTATTGTTTATAATTTTCTGTTTCATTTATTTCCCCTTTGGTCTATATTAATTATTTTCTTTGGCCTCCTTTGAGTTAAATTTCCTCTACTTTTTCTACTTTCATTGGGTCAAAAATTGGGTTTGGATTAGAGATCTTTTTATTTAATGCAGGCATTTATGATTATACATTTTCCTTTAAGCACTACTTTAAGTACTATAAATTTTGTCATGTTGTATTACATTTTCATTCATCTCAAGTATTTTTTAATTTCTCTGGTACTTTATATTTTGACTTATTAGTTATTTAGAGTGTGTTGATTAATTTCCCCATAATTTTTATTTCCTCAAATTTCCTTTGTTATTAATTTCAAATATAATTTTATTGTGATTGAACAAGATACTTTGTATTATTTCAGTATTTTAAAATTCATTGAGTATTGTGTTATGGTATAACATATGTTCTTTTCTTTTTAAAAAAATTTTACTGCAAGTTCTGGGATCCATGTGCAGAGTGTGTGGGTTTTTTACATAGGTAAATGTGTGGCATGGTGGTTTGCTGCAGCAATCAACCCATCACAGAGGTATTAAACCCCACATGCATTAGCTATTTTCCCGATGCTCTCCTATCCCTTGCACCCCTGTGACAGGCCCTGGTGTATGTTGTTCCGCTGTCTGTGTCCATGTGTTCTCAGTGTTCAGCTCCAACATATGAGTGAGAACATGTGGTGTTTGGTTTTTGGTTCCTGTGTTAGTTTGCTGAGGATAATGTCTTCCGATTTCATCTATGTCTTTGCAAAGGACGTGATCTCAATCCTTTTTGGGGCGGCATAGTACTCCATGATGTATGTGGACTACATTTTCTTTATCCTGTCTATAATTGATGGGCATTTGGGTTGGTTCCATGTCTTTGCTATTGTGAGTAGTGCTGCAATAAACATACGTGTGCATGTGTCTTTATATTAGAATGATTTATAATCCTTTGGGTATATACCCAGTAATGAGGTTGCTGGGTCAAATGATATTTCTGGTTCTAGCTCACAAGTGGAATCTTCCAATCCATGGGTTGCACAGTTCTGAGAAAAAAACACATGGTTTTCCAGGCTCGGTAGCATGCTCACTCACTGCTTCCGTTGGCTAAGGGTCAAGGTGTCCCTGCCCCATGTGGCTCTCAGTTGGGTCACAGCACCACCCTGCTCTTCCATCCTCTCCATGGGTCATGCCAGCTGCCTAGTCAGTCCTGATGTCAGGACCTGGACACTTTGGTTGCCTATGCAGGATTTGCACACTTGTTTGGTTCTTTTCTGTGGGAGCCTCCAATCACCACTGCTTCTAGTCAGCCATTTTGGTCCCACTCCACATATGTTCTATTCTGGAGTATGTTTCCTGTGCACTTAAGAATGGGTGTCATCTTGAGCTCTTCATTTATTTTGACTGTGGGTGCATGGAGTGGATGCATTGTTTTTAAGAAAAATGTGTCATGTAGGTTGTCTAAAAATAAAATGCATTTAAACTCAAAACCAAGAAAAAGAATGTGGGCTGGCTGGGCATGGTGGCTCATGCCTGTAATCACAGCATTTTGAGAGACTGAGGTGGGCATATCACCTGAGGTCAGGAGTTTGAGACCAGCCTGGCCATGTCTCTACTAAAAATACAAAAAAAATTACCCACACATGGTGGTGCACACCTGTAGTCCCAGCTACTTGGGAAGCTGAGGTATGAGAATCTCCAGAACCCAGGAGGCAGAGTTTGAGGTTGCAGTTAGCCAAGATAATGTCACTGCACTCCAGTCGGGGCAACAGAGTGAGACTCTGTCTCCAAAGAAAAACCAAAAAAAAAAAAAGAAAAAGAAAAAGAATGTATATGTATTAGTGCATTTTCACACTGCTGATAAAGACATACCCAAGACTGGCAAGAAAAAGAAGTTTAATTGAACTTATAGTTCCACATGGCTGATGAAGTCTCAGAATCATGGAAGGGGGTGAAAGGTACTTCTTACATGGCAGCAGCAAGAGAAAAATGAGGAAGAAGCAAAGGCAGAAACCCCTGATAAACCCAGTAGATCTTATGAGACTTATTAACTGTCACAAGAATAGCACAGAAAAGACTGGACCCCATGATTCAATTATCTCCCCCTGGGTCCCTCCCACAACATGTGGGAATTCTGGGAGATACAGTTCAAGAGCTTTGGGTGGGGACACAGCAAAACCATAACAGTATATTCCATTGTTGGCTGAAATGTTCCATAGGTGTCTGTTAGGTCTCTATATTACAGATTATAGTGTTGTTCAAGTCTTTTATTCCCTTTTGCATTTTCTGCCTCATTTATCTATGTATTATTGAAAGTGGAGTATTTAAATTTCCAAATATTGTTGTTGAATTACCCATTTGTTTCTTCAGTTTCTCAGATTTTGCTTTATATGTTATGTGGATCAGTTTGTAGGTTCATATATGTTATAATTGTTATGCTTTCTGATGGATTGACTCTTTTATTATTTTTAAGTGTTCTTCTTTGTCTCTAGTCATAATTTTTGTCTGAAAGTTTATTTTGTCTATTATTAGTATGGCTATTCTTTTGATTATAATTTACATGGAATATCTTTTTTATCCATTCACTTCAACCTATTTTTATCTCTCAATCTAAAGTGTATCTCTGAGAGATGGTATATAGTTGAATTTTTTTTTTTTTTTTGAGGCAGAGTCTCACTTTGTCACCCAGGCTGGAGTGCAATGGCATCATCTCAGCTCACTGCCACCTCCACCTCCTGGGTTCAAGAAATTCTCCTGCTTCAGCCACCCAAGGAGCTGGGATTCCAGGCGCCCACCACCATGCTCGGCTAATTTTTGTTTTTTAGTAGAGACAGGGTTTCACCATGTTGGTCAGGCTGGTCTCGAATCCCTGACCTTAGGTGATCCACCTGCCTTGGCCTCCCAAAATGCTGAGATTACAGGCATGAGCCACTGTGCCTGGCCAACAGTTTTTTTTTTTTTTAATCCATTCTGCTAATTCCTGCTTTTTGATTTAAATGTTAAGTCTATTTACAATTAATGTAATTATTGATAAGTTAGGATATTGTATTAGTCTGTTTTCATGCTGATAATAAAGACATACCAAAGACTGGGTAATTTATAAAGAAAAGAGGTTTAATGGACTCACAGTTCAACCTGGTTGGGAGGCCTCACGATCATGGTGGAAGGCAAAGGAGAAACAAAATCACATCTTACATGGTGGCAGGCAGGAGAGCTTGTGCAGGGGAACTCCCATTTATAAAACTATTAGATCTCATGAGACTTATTCACTATGATGAGAACAGTATGGGGAATCATGCCCCCATGATTCAATTATCTCTACCTGGCCCTGCCCTTTACAGATGAGGATTATTAAAATTCAATCAAATTAAAATTCAAGGTGAGATTTGGGTGGGATCACAGAGCCAACCCTATTATTCTGCCCTTGGTACCTCACAAATCTAATGTCCTCACATTTAAAAACACAATCATGCCCTTCCAACAGTCCCCCAGAGTCTTAATTCATTCCAGCATTAACCCAAAAGTCCAAGTCCAAAGTCTCATCTGAGACAAGCCAAGTTTCTTTTGCTTATGAGCCTGTAAAATCAAAGGTAAGTTAGTTACTTCCAAGATACAATGAGGGTACAGGTATTGGATAAATACACCTATTCCAAATTGGAGAAATTCGCCAAAGAAAAGCCACTACAGGTCCCATGCAAGTCTGAAATCCAATGGGGCAGTCATTAAAACTTTAAAGTTATTTGACTTCATGTCTCACATCCAGGTCATGCTGATGCAAGAGATGGGCTCCCATGGACTTGGGCAGCTCTGCCCTTGTGGCTTTTCATGGTACAGCTCCTCTCCTGGCTTCTTTCACAGGCTGGTGATGAGTGTTTGTGGCTTTTCCAGTGCATAGTGCAAACTGTCAGTGGATCTACTGTTCTGAGGTCTAGAGGACAGTGGCCCTCTTCTCACAGCTCCAGTAGGCAGTGCCCCTTTGGGGACTCTGTATGGGGGCTTCAACCCCACATTTACTTTCTACACTGCCCTAGCAAAGGTTTTCCATGAGGGCTCAGACTTGTAGCAAACCTCTGCCTGGATATCCAGGCTTTCCATCCATTCTGTGTAGTCTAGGTGGAAGTTTTCAAACCTCAATTATTGACTTCTCTTCACCCACAGATACACCACCACATGTAAGCCACCAAGGCTTGGGGTTTGCACCCTCTGAAGCAATGGTCTGAGCTGGACATTGGCCCCTTTTATTCACAACTGAAGCTGAAGCAGCTGGGATGCAGGGCACCGTGTCCTGAGGCTGCATAGAGCAGGGAAGCCATGGACCCAACCCATGAAACCATGTTTCCCTCCTAGGCCTCCAGGCCTGTGATGGGAAGGGGTGCAGTGAAGTTCTTTGACATACCTTGGAGGCATTTTCCCTGTTGTCATGGTGATTAACATTTGGCTCCTTGTTACTTATGCAAGTTTTTGCAGCCAGCTTGAATTTCTCCCCCCAAAATGGATTTTTTTTTTCTATCACATCATCAGGCTGCAAAATGTCCACAATTTTATACTCTGCTTCCTCTTGAATGACTTGCCACTTAAAAATTTCTTCTCTAGATACCTAAATCATTTCTCTCAAGTTCAAAGTTCCACAGATCTCTAGGGCAGGGGCAAAATGCCACCAGTCTCTTTACATAGTAAGAATGACCTTAACTCCAGTTCCTAGCAAGTTCCTCATCTCCATCTGAGACCACCTCTGCCTGGACTTTATTGTCCATATCACTAACACCATTTTGGTCAAAGCCATTCAACAAGTCTCTGGGAAGTGCCAAACTTTCCCAAATTTTCTTATCTCCTTCTGAGCCCTCCAAACTGGTCCAACCACTTCCTGTTACTCAGTTCCAAAGTTACTTCCACATTTTTGGATATCTTTACAGCAGCACCTCACTCCCAGTACCAATTTGCTATATTATTCTGTTTTTAGGCTGCTAATAAAAATGTGCCTGAGACTGGGTAGTTTATAAAGGAAAGAGACTTAATTGACTCACAGCTCCACATGACTGGGGAGGCCTCACAACCATGGCAGAAGACAAAGGAAGAGGAAAGGGACATCTTACATGGCAGGCAAGGGAGTGTGTGCAAGGGAACTACCCTTTATAAAACCATCAGATATCATGAGACTTTTCACTGTCACAGGAACAGCATGAGAAAGACCCACCCCATGATTCAATTACCTCCTGCTGGGTCCCTCCCACACTACGTTAGAATTATGGGAGCTATAACTCAAGATGAAATTTGAGTGGGGACACAGCCAAACCATATCAGACATACGTCTTCTATTTTGTTATTCATTTTCCATATGTCTTGTTTTGTTTTTGTTCTCCTATTTCTCCACTAGTGCCATATTTGTGTTAAATATATTTTCTAGTATGCTATTTTAATTCCCTTGTTGTTTTCATAATAATTTGTGAGGTATTTTCTTAGTGGATGTCCTGAGGATTATAACTAACATCTTAAATGAAAACTTCAAATCTATTTCGGATTAATACAAACTGGTTTGCAATAATATACAAAATTTCTGCCCTAATGTAGCTTAGATAACTCCCCTCTCCTTAGTGCTAAAATTGCCACACAACTCATGTCTTTATATATTATAGGTCCATCAATACAGTTTAATAATTACTACCTTATTAGATTGTCTTTTAAATTAGATAGTAAAAGAGTTACAAATTTAGAAAAACTTTTATACTGCCTTGTATATTCACCTGTATAGTTAACTTTATCAATGCTCTTTGTGTGGAATCAAGTTGCTTTCAGATGTCTTTTTTTCAGTTGAATGCATCCTTTATTAATTTTTGTAGAATAGGTCTATGTGAAATAAATTCTTTCTGCTTTTGTTTTTCTTGGAATGTCCTAACTACCCTTTATTAAGATAGATTTGCAGTTTATAGATTCTAGTTTAACAAACTTTTTCTTTTAGCTCTTCAGATGTGTTGTCTCACTGTCTTCTGGATTCCATAGTTGCTGATAAAAATCAACTGTTAGTGTTAATGAGGACTCTGAATGCATGATGAGTATCTTTTCTTTTGCTGCTTTGAAGCTTTGTCTTTGGTTCCCAACAGTTTGACTATGATGTGTCTAGGTTTGAATTTCTGAGTTTCTCCTACCTGATGCTTATTAAGCTTCTAAGATGTTGAGATTAATGTATTTCATCAAGTTGGAGAAGTTTTCATCATTATTGCTTTACGTATTCTTTTTGCCAATTTTATTTTGTTTTATCCATAATGAGAATCCCATTATGCATATATTCATATGCATAATGTTTTTTCACAGGTCTCTGAGGTTTTGTCCATTTTTCTTCTTCTATTTCTTATATTGAATAATTTCACTTGATCTAAGTTTGCTAATTCTTTCTACTGCCACTTTGAATGTGTTGTTAAACATGCTTCAGTTTTTGTTATTTTCAGATTTTTTATTTGAGCTTTTGTACATTTGAGCCCCAGAATATTTATTTTTAAAAGTAATTTCTATTTATTGATATTTTCTATTTGATGAGACATTGTTCTTATACTTTTCTTTAATTCTTTAGTCATGATAACATTTAGTTCTTTGAACATATTTACAACAGCTGATTTAAACTCCTTGTCTAGTAAGTCTAACATCTGTATTTCTTATAGACTGTTTCCATTGACTTTTTTTCTGTGTATGGGCCATACATATCTGTTTCTTTAAGTGTCATAATTTCTTATTTTGAACTGTATATTTTACATAATATAATGTGTCAACTCTGGAAATAAGATATCTCTCTCCCCAAAGCTTACTTTTGCTGCTTGTTTAATAACTTTCTGGGACACATGCTGTAAAATCTATATTCTTTGTTTTGTGCAGCTACTGAATTTTATGATTGGTTATCTTAGCTTACAGAAATTTTCTTACGTCCTTTGAACAAATATGTCTACCATTCTATTCTGAAGTCCTTTGTGTGTTACGGAATGCTTTAAAAACTACATTGGGACAGTTTATATCTCTACTTTATCTTTCTCTTCTTTCTTACACAGCACAGCAAGGTTATTCAAAAGTAAAACATTTTGGCTTTCCCAGATCTTTCTTGGGTATGCCAGAGTATCGCACATGTGTGTGGCATTCTAGACTCCCAGGCATATATTAGTGGCATTCAAAGTCTGCTGTAGACAGATTATTTATGTTTTTAGTTACTCTAACTTTTTTGGTAAGCCTCTTGTTACCAACAATTGGTAATGCCACCTCAGGCAACCACCATGTTAAATAACAATTGCTGATTGGTTTCGGCAAACAGCCTAG
Organism: Homo sapiens; assembly: GCF_000001405.40. Lineage (NCBI taxonomy): Eukaryota > Metazoa > Chordata > Mammalia > Primates > Hominidae > Homo > Homo sapiens. Next base: position 18,168,867 of record NC_000005.10, read on the forward strand.
GGATATTGTTGTACATGCAAAACAAGCTCCAATTAGGGTCAAAAAAAGATAAGACTTGAGAAATGAAGTTTTCAGAAATCTTCTGAAAGGCAAATAATAATAATTTTATGAAGATGAAGCTCTTTGTGATACAGAAGTTGTCCCTTTCAGCACCTGATAGGCTGCTGATTTTCAGAGCTACAATAGTTATGAAGCTATAGGGATACCACATAGCTCCAGAAAGAGGAATCAGACTAGGGCGAGTTAATGCTACAAAGCTAACTGTTCTTATTAAGATTTAGGTGGTTTTTTTGTTTGTTTTTCATAAGTATTCTTTCTAAGTATCATGCCCACAACCTGGGTGAGAGGATCTGCACGCAAAAATTCAGCATAACTGACATGGTTTGGCTTTGTGCCCTCACTCAACTCTCATCTTACATTGTAATCCCATAATCCCCACATGTTGTGGGAGAGACCTGGTGAGAGGTAATTGAATCATGGGGGCAGTTTCCCCCTATACTGTTCTCATGATAGTGGGCGAATTCTCATGAAATCTGATGGTTTTATAAGGGGCTTCCCCCTTCACTCATCACTGATTCTCTCTCCTGCCACTCTGTGAAGAGGTGCCTTCTGCCATGATTATAAGTTTCCTGATACCTCCCCAGCCATGCTGAACTGTGAGTCAACTAACCTCTTTCCTTTATAAATTACCCAGTCTTGGGTGTGTCTTTATTAGCAGCATGAGAATGGACTAATACAATAACACACTATACCCATGTAACAAAACTACACATGTACCCTCATATCTAAAATAAAAGTTGGGATGATGGGGAGCAAGATGGCTGAATGGAAGTCTATACTGATCATCCACCCCAAAGGAAGACCAAATTGAACACTCATCAACCCAAAAAGCACCTTCATGAGAACCAAAAATCAGCTTGGGTACCAGCTTGGCCACAGTGGGGGAGAGCACCAAGGAGGTTTTTAGGGTCCCCAATTCAAGGCCTTTGCTCTTAGATGACATTTCTGTACCTGACCAGGGCCAGATGGGAGCCCAATTACCCAGAGGGAGACTCTTAGGCCTCCTGACATTTACTGCAAACTGACTGAAGAGCTTTTGGTCCTTCAGTGAACATCAGCAGTAGCCAAGCAGTAATTGCTGTGGACCTGGGGTTGTGGTGGCCATGAGGAGAGACTCCTCTGATTGTGGAAAGGGGAAGAAAGAGTGGGAAGGACTTTGTCTATGGCATGGGTGCCAGCTCAGCCACAGTAGAATAGAGCACCAGGTAGATTCCTAAGGTTTCTGACTCTAGGCCCTAGCTCACATATGGGGACAGGGGTATCTTTCCTGAAGGGAAAGACACAAGCCTGGCTGGTTTTGCCATCTGCTAATTATAGAGCACTAGGGCTCTGAGCAAACATAGGCGATAGCCAGGCAGTGCCTACTGCAGGCCTTGCATGAGAACCAGTGCTGTGCTTGCTTCAGGTCTGACCCAGCAGAGTTATAGTGATAGTGGCCTCAGGGGTGCTTGTGTCACCACTCTCCCAGCTCCAGGAAGCTTAGCACAGAGAGCAAAATTCTGTTTTCTCAGGAGAAACTGAAAGAAAAGAACAAGAGTCTTCATCTGGTAATCTAGAGAATTCTCCCAGATCTTATTCAAAACCACCAAAGTGGTAACTCTATGAATCTAAAAGAACCACAACATTATTGGGCTCAGAGTCCCCCCTAATGCAGATATGTCTGTAGTGACCAAAACTTAAATCATAACACCTAAGTCGCTTCAAATACTTGGAAAGTCTTCCCAAAAAGGATGTGTACAAATAAGCCTAAACTGCAAAGACAATAAATGCCTAACTCTTCAATGCCCAGGCACCAAGAAACATCCACAAGCATTAAGACCATTCAGGAAAACTTGACCTCACCAAACAAACCAAATAAGGAACCAGTGAACAATGCTGGAGAGACATAGACATGCGACCTTTCAGACTGAATTCAAAATGGAAACTCAACGAAATTCAAGATAACACAGAGAAGGAATTTAGAAGCATATTCGATACATTTAATAAAAATATTGAAATAATTAAAAGGAATCAAGCAGGAATTCTGGAAGTAAAATATGCAACTGACATACTAAAGAAGGCAGTTCTTACCAGCAGAATCTATGAGGAGCTTAAAGAAATAATCAAGTAGAAAGCAAATAACCCTAATAAAAAAGTAGGGAAAAGACATGAACAGACACTTCTCAAAATAAGACATACAAGCAGCCAACAAACATAGAAAAAGCTCCACATAACTTATCATAAAAGAGATACATCAAAACCACAATGAGATATCATTTCACACCAGTCAAAATAACTATTATTAATAAATCAAAGAACAACAGATGTTGGTGAGACTATAGAGAAAAGGAAATACTTATACATTGTTGGTGGGAACATAAATTAGTTCAGATATTGTGGAAAGCAGTTTGGAGATTTCTCAAAGATCTTAGAACTCATTCAGCCCAACAATCCTATTACTGCTTACTTATCAAAAGAAAACAAATTGTTCTACCAAAAAGACACATGGACTCATATTTTCATTGTAGCACTATTCATAATAGCAAAGAAATAGAATCAACCTAGGTGCCCATCAATGGTGGATTGGATAGAGAAAATGTGGCACATAGACACCATGGAATACTACACAGCCATAAAGGAGAATGAAATTATGTCCTTTGCAGCAACGTGGATGCAGCTGAAGGTCATTACTCCAAGTGAATTAATGCAGAAACACAAACACTGAATACATCATGTTCTTACTTACAAGTGAGAGCTATACATTGGGTACTCATGGACATAAAGATGGAAACAATAGACCCTGGCTACTACCAGAGGGGGAAGGAAGGGAGAGGGGGCAAGGGCTAAAAATCTAAATAGGCCCTGGAGACTACTGGAGGGGGAAGGGAGGGAGGGGGTCAAGGGCTAAAAATCTAAATGTTGGGTACCTTGCTCAGTACTTGAGTGACTATTTGTATCCCAAACTTCAGCATTACGCAATATACCCAGTTAACAAATCTTCACATGTATTTGCGGAATCTAAGATAGAAGTTGAGAAAAAAAAACAAAAACGAGTTTCTGTAACTCATTGAGCAGTTGGGTCTTCATTCTTTCATTCTCAAGACTCCTTTATATACATGTTAGATAAATGTGTATGTCTTTTCTCCAAAAAAGAGAAAATAACTTCAAAAATAGCATATTACTGGTACATTTCTGCATTACATCCTGTATAATTCATTGTTAGATATGAATTGCATATATGTGTATTCATATAAAATATTTAAACCATAAGAGTGTTTTAGGAACATGCTAAATACTTGCAAATATTTTTTTCAATAGGTTATTGGGGTACAGGTAGTGTTTGGTTACATCAGTAAGTTCTTTAGTGGTGATTTGTGAGATTTTGGTGCACCCATCACCGGAGCAGTATACACTGCACTCTATGTGTAGTCTTTTATCCCTCATCCCCTCCCATTCTTACCCCCATGTCCCCAGAGTCCGTCATCTCATTCTTATGCATTTGTGTCTGCATAGCTTAGCTCCCACATATCAGTGAGAACATAAAATGTTTGGTTTTTCATTCCTGAGTTACTTCACTTAGAATAATAGTCTCCAATCTTATACAGGTCACTGCAAATGCCTTTAATTTGTTCCTTTTTAGGGCTGAGTAGTATTCCATCTATATACCACAGTTTTTTATCCTCTTATTGATTGATGGGCATTTAAGTTGGTTCCATGATTTTATACTTGCAAATATTTGAGTCCTTTTTTCCTCCAAGTGCTTCTTGGGTATAAAAACCATTTTCCCCCCATAGATGTGAATCAAAATTTATTTTCTCCATATATATTTGTTTAGTTGTGCAGATTATCTGAGTTTACATTATTCAATTGATGATAAAATTATTCATTTGTGTAACAATGAAAGATAGGTTATTAATATGACAACAAATATAAATGGTATTTGTAATTGTTATTGTACGAAGTCCAAGTGTCTGAAATTTCCATGGACTTTAATAAGTTTTATCTTTCATTGTTGTAGATACAATTGACATCCTAACATATAAATGTCAAGGCTGCCATGTTACACAACTCGATGGTGGTTGGAGACACCATTTAAACTATAGTAAATGTGAATGCCATCATAAATTGTGCAGCAAACAACCAATGTAATGATACGGTATGGGATGATATCATACAATTCCAACTTAGCACATTTGTATCCATAATGTCCTCAAGTTGGTTCAAATTTTGCTTTTAATTTTAGTTGCCCTGGGTTATGAATTGAATACAACTTATGGAATAATTTCCGTTTTCATTTCTGGCTGTAGTCGAGAGTGTCATTTTTTTATTATGAAAAAGACTTTGAGCTTGTTATAATTTATATGCCTTCTACTTCTTTTAAAAAGTGTTGGTAAGAATTTGAAACATGACTTAGAAGAAAATTAGAATGCCTTGGATATAAATAATAAAAATGCATAGCTTCGCTGTTTTATTACTAGCTTCCTATCTGCAAGGACCCAAATTTGAAAGTAAATAAATGAAAAGTGAGTTCAAAAGGAAAAAAAAAAGTTAAAATAATTACATATGTGTGTGAATGTTGTTTTAGAGGAAAATGTAATAGCATATATTACTTCAAATTTAAATTGGTCCTTAGATAGCAACACATGGCAAAATTTATCGTACTCTCATATAAGCAGTACTTAAAATAATAATTTGTGCCTTAGAGACAGAAATGGTTTTATACCATTCTCCACCACCTCCTACGTATAACATCCATTTGTGCACATCCTCCAAAGACGTGTGACAGATGGGGAGGTAAAAATTGATTAATGGTGGTAATAAAATAAATGGAAGGCAATACTTCCTTGGGTTACCCTGTCATCCTTTATGACCCCAGGATGTGAAAGTCATACTCACTGTGTCTGTTTGCATTCATAATCTCCTAGATATAATATTGTAAGTCTCCCTTGCTAAGGTGTAAATTTGTGTAATGTGTGTGTGTGTTTGTGGTAGAGAGAGAAGTAGAGAAACTGAGACACAGAATAGGATAATATTCTATTATATATACATAAATGGCATTCTATTATAGATAATATATTTTTATACAATTCTTTTCCTTGTAAGAAAAGTCTTTTACCTAAATCTTTTAGTTTGCCTTGAGATTTCACTTATAAAATCTAATTATTACTTTTTGAATAATTCTTTCCAAGTATATAAAGCATATTTGACCATACTATCATGTTTATACAGCCAGATGGCTCATAAATAAATCATTATAGGATTCCAGATCCTGGGTTCTTAAGTATTAGGTTATTTCATTCACCCTGCATTTTAACTGCTTGGATTAGAATAAGACAATGGGCTTCATTATCAATGACTCTGACAAGATAAACTCTTGTAATGTTAATGAACATTTAAAATTAAAAATATTCTTTAAAAGTAACACAATTTACTGGATACATTATTATGCACATTACTCTTTAAAAGATTTTATGCATTATATAAAAACAAAGACATTAAAATAACTTCAATATATTTCAGAAAAATATGTGGATAATTTTCTTATATGAATCTATTTATAATCTTTCTCTCCATTTCATTTTTATTACCTCCTATTTCTATGACCTTCATAATTGAAGACTTATACAAAGTGAAATGTAGAAAGACTCTTTAAATAATCTATTTTTTCATCATTTTCCCATTATAATGTATATTTTTCCAAGCAATACTATATAGCCAATTTCTATGGACCCCTTTAGAAAACGTTTTGTTTATACAAAGACTCTTGTATACAGCAGGTAGAATAATGTATGTTCAATACAAATTGTATGTTCTGCCAAACTTGTTTATAACTACTTAAATTCACGTGGTGATTTTTTTCTGAACTTGAAGGGACTTTTCCCACATTAGTGGAGCAGAAATAAACTTTAAGAATAAACAGGTTTGGGTTCAAATTCTGTCTCTACTATTATTTTTGGTCTGTGACTTTAAGCAAATTAATATTCTCTTTAACTTGTGCTTTTTTAAATGTAAAATGGCATAATATAATCTACATTCTTGCATTGAGTGTTAAACAAGAACATACATAAAGCTGACATTGTACCTATTGCATAATAATAAATATTAAAACACTCCCTACTTTCTCTATAAAGTAGGAGTTTAGAACTTCACTTACAGACTTTTGTCTGATAAATATGATTATGTATTTAAAGCAATTAAAATTCTGTGCTAAATAAATGATACTTATTCTGCTCTTCCCTTTGTATTTTCTGGGTAAAACCTCTGTCATCCTTAAAAACTCAGTTGTTTTCTTTTCAAAACTCTTCCTGGGCCAACACCCAGGGCTAAAGCAGAGTTACACACTTCTTTTTGCACTCTTATGGAAGTTCACATCATTTTCCACTAGAATATTAAGTATATTATATTTCATTTATCCATTCAGATACATATGTAGATTTCCATTATAAGATTTTATATAATATTTAATTTTACCTTTATTTAATTTTCTCAAGGGTAGTATTAGTTCTTGAGCAGTTTAAAGCCCACTTTTCTTTTCTCTTTCAAAGATGGATATTGTAACAAATTTTTTTTCTCCTAAGAAAGTACTATGAGCTGGGTGTGGTGGCTCATGCCTGTAATCCCAACAGTTTGGAAGGCTGTGGTGAGTGGATCACCTGAGGTCAGGAGTTGGAGACCAGCCTGGCCAACATGGTGAAACCCTGTCTCTACTAAAAATACAAAAATTAGCCAGGCATGGTGGTGGGCACCTGTAATCCCAGCTACTCGGGAGGCTGAGGCAGGAGAATGGCTTGAACCCAGGAGGTGGAGGTTGCAGTGAGCCAAGATCATGCCATTGCACTCCAGCCGGGGTGACAAGATTGAAATTCTGTCTCAAAAAAAAAAAAAAAAAAAAAAAAACAGAACAGAAAAGAAAAGTACTATGAAATCTACAAGTTTTTGGTGTACAATAGCATCTTTTTTTCTATAAAATATATCAAATTATACAACAATGTAAATTCTCTTTATTAGAATTATAGGGAGATTTCCAGCTTCTGAAATATAGACATGATGAAACTTGTATTCTAGTATATAAGAGTGTATATTAATCAAACAAACACATGTGTGAAAGGTGAGTACCACAGAGTAAAGGTATATGATAGCTTTATAAGTGGGTCACAGTGTTTCACAGCTTTTGGAAGAAGTGAGGAATGTACTAAGTTTGAGACATTAGTAGTACTTTATGAGGAGAAATGGAAGAAATGTGATTTTCCAGGAAGACATAATGGTACAAAAGTTTGCAGTGGGGAAATAGATAACTAATACAGGTTGTTGCTAATATCTGCTACTCCAGTGAGTGGGATGTGTTACTGACTTTATTTACTCTCTTTCTCAGAGTGTGGGGCTTTAATTTAGCTTTTTTCTAATAAGAAACTCATACCCTACTGGCCATAAGCCAATATGGGAATTCTGCCAACTCCCCAGTAAACCCATTCCAACAATCCATTGGCAGTGAGAGAAGTGACCACTGACTTTACCCATCAGCCCAGTAGACCACACTGAGCTGGATTTGCATTAAGACTTTATTAATTACTTGTTCACTCTAACAGGGAGTTCATGGTGACACTTTAGATCCAAGAGAATCTATAGCAACTCAAGAACATGTCCAATAGTCCTTAAAATATCTGAATATTTTCTTTCCCTTTCTGTACTATTATCCAAGTATGTGACCATAGGTACCTTTGGGAAAAGACTGGGGCATTAGTGGCATATGTACTTCTTCGGGAGTTGCAGGATCTTTCTGCCTGGATACATAGCATCTCCCTCACATAATGGATTTTAGGTCTAAAAATTGCTCCAGATCCAGAAATTGGGCAAGTGTTTGTAACTTTTTTTTTCAGAAGCAACTTCCATTAGCCTCCTAGTTATCTTTTATCTTCCTGGTTGCTATGGTTGGGGTGCTCATTTATCTACATTATCTCCCCTGGTCACACCTGTCCTATAGGTGACCACCACACTAAGTTTCCCAGTGGTGCTGGTGCCAACTCACTAGTGAATTCCTTATTGCTTTGGTAAATAAAATAACCTGTGGCCCATCCTAGGGACTATAGTCACCTAGTAGATTTCCTGGCCTTATATAGAATAAAATCTCTATAATTTGTACTTCTCTGGATCTTTTGACCCCTGTCTTCTACTGTCTGCCGTAACAACTCAGACACTTATTCTTCATTTGTGTATGTCATCCTTTTATCCAAGCTTCTCTGATCTGTCCTAATAGCATATTTACTTCATTTCTCAAAGTCCTTGCCAGGAGATTTTATATCCCCGGATAAACTCTCCCTTGAACAATTTTCCACACCTTCCTGATTTAGCAACCTCTCGATCCAGCCCCCCAAACATTGCCATTCTCCTGCTAGCACATATTGTTTTGATCCTACAGCTCCTTCTGAGTATAGTTGCTTTTCTCTACAGGTAGGTCCAGTGCTTCCTAATCCTTGGTGTGTCATAACCACAAGGAGAAATGTGTGAGCAGATACTGAGGAGACTCTTGTTTTATTGCAAGACAAGGTCCTCTGCATCATCCTCAGAGAAGAGGAGCACTCATTATCCTTCAACAGGATGAAATTATGGGATGAGAGATTTTCAAGTACATTAATCCATATGTCATTGTCCCTTGTATCAGGATACAATCTTTTCTGTCCCAGTGTTAACCTCAGCATAGTAGACTTGCCTAATTTGAGAAGGTCTGCTTATTGGAGCTCTTAGACTAAGTGCTGTTATTTTATCTTTAGCTAGTGGTGATGTCCTCATCACTAACTGAGCAGTGGATAATCCAGCTCCAGTGTCTCATTTTAACATCTGCTTTCTTGAACCCATCCTGATATAAATCCTGGCAGCTCAGGTCCCCTTGAGATGTACCTTAGTGTGCAGAAAACCTACTTAGCAGTATTCTCAGTGTCAACACTCCTTGAGGGAAGGGAAGAAAGTAGAGTGTGGCAGAAGGGGAATTTGGACTTTGATGTCATCACAAAAAAAGCTCCAGATTACTCATGGGGAGCTCTGAAACTAGAATCAATCTCTCTTCAGAGTTCTCTGGAGTTTGGGTGAGGGTAGCACGGTTTTATACCCTCACATTAGCCAGTCATTACATGTGGGTTGCCTCCTGGATGGGGCATATTAACTTGGACACGAGAGCCCTCTTCAATAGAGGACAAGTCCTGGAGAAGACGACAGTTGAGGACAATCTGCTGCAGCATTCCCTGGATGTGGGGAATAAGTCATTTAGTCCTGGTGGAGGGCTGGGGATCTGTATGATGTAACCAAGAGTCTGAGACAGTCAATCAGCTGAGGACACACCATAAGAGAATAATGGAACCAAAAGATGAATTTAACCTGGAGCAATGCAGAATCAATTATATTAATTATATTTGGATCATTGTTTTCTGATAGGTAAAAATGTAAAGAGTAGCTGGATATACCCATTTCTCTCATATATAGATCCATAGCAGCATTCTCAAAAGACCATTTTACTGATTTCACATTGAATCAAAGTATAATGCATGTAATTTATACAATATGATACAAAACATTACATAATACAAAACAGTGTGTGCGTGTGTGTGTGTGAGGTGATTATACCTACACATTATTGATTTTGCTGCTAAAATTAGGCAGAATGGATAAGCAATAAATTGAGGAGTTTGTGTCTTATTATTTGATAATACTCCATATTAAAGGAAAGACAAAATGAAATAATTACAGGAAAAGGGAAGTAACCTCTTTCAAAATAGCTTGTCAAAATAAAAGGGAAACTGAGCAACACTATTTGAATTTTTGCATTTCAGTAGAGGTAAACAAAGCCTTTTGTACTCTATCAGATATTGCTTTCTTATAATCTATTTAAAGTATTCTGGTACATAGAGACAAAACAATTTTAGTTAAGATCTTAAAGTGAATTTATTGCTTTGGGTCACAAGAGACTGGGAGAAGAACTTAAACTTTAATACTCTATCATATTTTTCTCTGACCTTCACGAAGAAAATGAAGGTGAAATACAGTTCAGATTTTTTCATCAAAATTGAAAAGGAAAATATCCCTTTGCTCTCCAGAATAGCTTGAAAATCTGTAAAATAGATACAAGAAGTCAAGCAGAACTGGAACCTAGTATTTCATTACACTAACCAATGCAAAGTCAAATTTTACTTAAGGATCAAAGGTAGAAGACATGCATGGCTGCTGTCTATGGATGATTAGTTGCTGAGGGCATTGAGGGTCTATTTAAGTTTGCTATGTGCGCATGGCCATGAAATGTTAGGAAAGTACATTTTTACCGTGATAGGATATACGTTGACTATTTTTTTCCCAAAAACATAAAAAGCATTCTTTGTATTTTTATCTTTACATAATACTTCATATATATATAATGAATTATATATATACACACACGTACACAATATATACATATGTATATGACCATATACATACGCCTATAGTATATATATATATATATATATATATATAAAATTCATTATGTTTTACAATGCTGAAGCTTCAGGTTATTCTATGAATGAAAATATATATCACTAAAATAGATTCTGCTAACTAAATTACCAAAATACATAGGCAGCCTTGGTAGAAACCAACGTGACAAAGAGCTGGAGTGAGAGAATGGTGACCATTTGAAGACTGAGTATAGAAATAAGCTCAAATGGAATTTCCTATTGAATTTAGCAGTGGTTCATTGCTTCTGTTCGTGTATTGTTTATGTGAAACTGGAGCTAAATAAACCTATCCATGACCTGCATTATCTGCCAAATGGATTGAACATTTACTCTCTCTGCCTCAAAGGCTTGTCGTTTCAGTTTAGCCTTGCAGATGGCACATCCATTTCCCTGAAACAGAACCATGATGTAGGGGCTTGCCAATATTTCCTGTTAGTTAAAGTTCACCCTCAAAGTACACATGACCATGTTTCACTTTCTCAGCCAATATTCCACAGCATCAATCTGACATCTCTCTGTTTTTCCGGTCACTCTAGAAAAATCTTTGTTATCAACCATTTCTCTTAATTGTACTACTGAGAAAATTATAGTGTCAAGAAACCTACCTCTATCTCTGAGAAATTGACTTTACCCAAAAACCTAAAGAATCATTGTGAATGTGTTTGGCAGTAAGTATGAGAGGAGAGCCGATTAGCATTTTTCTGAAATAGTTTATATGTTCAAATGACACATGAAAAAAGCAGCTTCTGCTCCATTTAAATGCTTTTAGCTGGAATACTTCTATTATCTAACATAATTATATGACTTAAGACAGGCAAGTAAGTCATATTTCCATTAACGTCTTGAAACACTTGAAAGAACATCTGGGTCTTGGTGATATTTTATTCTTTGTCATATGAGAAGATACTTTGTAAAAGAGAGAACAAGATTGCTTTTGTAAGTTGAGGAATAAATGTAGGTGATATAAGGTAACAAATTCATTACATCTATATGGCTCTTATTTTCAAAACTTCCAATTGCTGAAATTTTAAAAGTGAGATTTTTTATTTGTATATTAAATTATTATAGTACAATTTCATGCTTACATCTTTATAATCAAATACTTATTACTACAATTAAGAAATGAAGTATCTTTTTCAACCTGTTTTATTGAGAGTCACTTGATATTAATAAAGACTATGAAAGGTATTTAAATGTGAAATGGTTTAACATCAGAGTGCTAGATTGGGCCAGGGATGAGAGGTGACGGGGGAAGAAAACAAGTATTAAAAGGAGAGTTTGAAGCAACACAATGAAACCTTATAATTCAGCCTAGATCATCTCTATTCTTAGGTGTAAGACCTACAAGATGACTATTTTTGCTACCTTACCACCTCTGTTTACTCTGACCAAGATTGGTTCTAAAGTCTGTGAGCCCGGATTTATTTTGAATTTTGGTTATAATGATGATACAAGCAATGTCTGTGGATGTCATTTAAGGGAAAAAAGAAAAACAATTAAAATAGAAGAGGAAGTGAGAAAAATCTTACAAAGACACGTAGCTGATGACTGTATTAGAGTGCTGCCTTCAATTTGCTCAAGTGTAAAATGCAGTGCAGTATTTTGTATATCCCACTAAGCTCATTGACCCAGTATTCAAATGCCTTGTGTTTGCCCTAGGTTATAGCTCAGATTTTGTTGGTGCTTTGCTTATTTAACTTATATAACAAAAGAGAAAATTTTAATATTCTCTGGTAATTTATTTTATCCCCCAGTAATAAAATTCATTTGTGCCTTTACATAACTTTTCCTGAAATGAATTCTAATTTTTGGAATATTTAAATGTTTTTAATAGTGAAAAAAGTGTGCTTTTTGATGCTCCCAAGTGACTAATATTCAAGTCCTCATTTTCATAAAAAAATTTATTAAATTTGATTACTTTTTATGGAGACAACCAGCACATATTAATTTCAAATAATTATTTTTGTATTTCCATTTCTCACTGTTTAAATCTAATTTTTAAGTTGATCTTGGGAAATAGGAGATAGACTAAAACTTATTTTGAAAGAAAATTGATGCCCCTGCAGGCAGTCTGTGATACATCTGCTGATTTTTTTATACAAGTATACAAATATGGCCAAAGATGACATACAGATACAAGTTACACTGTTAGCCACAAGGTTAAGAGGATTCTAAACAGTTAGGCAGAGAATCATAATCTATTTATTTACTTGCTTGACTTCAGCATTGTTCTTAATATCTATAAATAATGGCAAAGGTATTTTTGTGGTCTAATTATTTCACATCTTTCTGTTTCTGTGAAGAAGTGAAATCCATTTTGAGTACTGTACTGTAGGACTCATTACCAGAGGCTCTTCTGGGAGTCCAGTGCTTTCACGACACTAAAGGCTATTGAAGTCACTGGCTATGTGGCTCCTCTCCTGAGAGCTCAGCTTTCCAGCCTATACACCCTGGAGGCTGCTCACACAGCCCAGAGATCACTTGGTTTTGTCAGTTACAGAAAGGGGATACTAGGAATTCAATTTCACTGGTAGAAATGTTACCTACTAGCTTGTATTGTTTATTTTGTATTTAGTTTTTATCTTATAATAAATTCCAACTTAATGAGAGGCAGTGCAATAGAATACAAAGTAATAAATTCACTATTTGCAGTCCATAAGTGAAGGACATGTCTGTATTAAAGGCAGCCACTTGCTCACAGCCACCATTCAGGGTTTCTTCTGAGAGCAGCCCACATCATCTACTTTCTTTCCTCTCAAGTTTGGTGTACTTGGATTTACAGTGTAGAAGGCATAATAAAATATTCTAATTTTTTATTCATTTCCATTCATACCTACAATCTATCATGGCTATTCTCTTTGGCTGAAGAGTATTTTACAGATTATTCATGGAGATATCATTAAAAGAGGCATTGCTCATAGGATGTGTTATATCAATATCCTCTTTTAAACGAAGAACACTTCCATTCAAATAAAGAGAAAATTGCAGATAAGCTGTTAAAATCATAACTTGCCTTTGATCCATCAAAGAATTGATGTTAAAAATCAACCAAGTAAACAGAATTTCAAATAGTGACAAGCCTCTCTTAGGTGAGACGGTACATTTAGCAGAGTACAAGGAAAAGAGGTGGCCTCCATTGAAGCATGTGAAAAGAAATCAGCTTAAATAATTGTGAATTCCTAAAGGCCAAATGTGGGCAAGTGTACTAGTTTCCTAAGGCTATTGTAATAATATACTATACAATGAGTGGCTTAAAACGTAAAACTTTTTTTCTTGAGTTCTGGGGATCTGAAGTGTGAAATCAAGGCATCAGCAGGGTTGGTTTCATGAGGGTCTGAGGAGGAATGTTCTATGTCTCTCTCCTAACTTCTGGTAGGTTCCAGGCATTTCTTGACTCTAACTGCACTATTCCAAGCTTTGTCTCTGTCTTCAGTTACTTTCTCTGTGTGTTCATGTCTTCTTTTCTTTTGTCCATCCTAAATTCTTTCAGCATTTCTCTTACAAGGACATCTGTCTTAAAGACCCATTCAGAAAATCTAAGATGATCTTCATATAAATACTCATAACTTATTTATATCTGCTAAAACCCCTTTTTCTAAATAATGTCACATTCACAGGTCCTGGAAGTTAGGATTTGGATATGTTTTCAGCCACCACCATTCAACCCATTACAGCAAATATTAATATATCTGTTTAGAGTAACTGAAAGCCCAGATACAAGAAGATACTACAATTGCTTGTAAGTTTTTTTAAACAAACCTCAGTGAGATGTTCTCAAGAGAGACTGGGAGCAAGGTAAGTAACTGTAGACAGATCACTTCATCTATAGGTGAATGAGGCAAACAGATGGTCATTGGCTGCCACTGCAGAAGAGTCAGGAAACTCTGATTCTCCTGCCCGAAATCTTTCACATGAAACAAAACCCTTAAGCCACTGGGAAAGGAGCATCAAACATTTTCATACACACACTGGGAAGAGATCCATTAATTTGGAAAAACAAGTTGAAGCAAAATTTATCTGATTCTTGAGCCCATGATTCTGCATCAATATAAAAAACTAGGTAGTGGCAGTTTACAGTAGAAGAGTTTAAAACTTATAGTTTACTGAAAATAATGAGAGCAACAACAAAACCAAATCTAGCTCCACTATTGAATAGATTGAATCAATCTCCCAATGATATCAGCCTGGCAGAAGGGTAATATCCTTTTGCAAATGTAAGCAGAGAGAAATGTCACATTGCATTAAAAATATGAAATATATTCTACATCAGATTTCTATCAGAAACTGTACCAGCCAAGAAAATGAAGTGTGATTTCTTCAAAGTAGTGAAAAAAAAATTGTCAACCTAGAATACTGTGATTTTTTTTTTCAAATATGAGGTCTAAATACAGACTTTTTAAAAAAGAAAAACAAATGCTGAAATAATTTCTTTACAGCTGTCTTCCCAAAATGAAATTTTAAAAGAAGTGCTGCAAGTAAGTTTACTCTCACTATGGCTATTCAGCATCACAGTGAAGGAGCTAGTCATTGCAATAAAGCAAGATAAAGAAATTTTCATGTATACTGGAAACACAGAAATAGTCTTTTTAAAATTTCTTCTACAAAAAAAAATGGGATACATGTGCAGAATGTGCAGCTTTGTTGCATAGGTATACACGTGCCATGGTAGTTTGCTGCACCTATTGACCCATCCTCTAAGTTCCCTCTCCTCACCCCCCGCCCCCCCAACAGTCCCTGGTGTGTGTTGTTTCTCTCTGTGTGTCCATGTGTTTTAATTGTTCAATTCCCACTTACAAGTGAGAACATGTGGTATTTGGTTTTCTGTTCCTGTGTTGGTTTGCTAAAGATGATGGCTTCCAGGTTTTTCCATGTCCCTGCAAAGGACATGGTCTCATTCCTTTTTATGGCTGCCTAGCATTCCATGGTATATATGTGCCACATTTTCTTTATCTGGTCTATGATTGATGGGCATTTGGATTGGTTTCATGTCTTTGCTATTGTAAGTAGTGCTGCAATAAATATATGTGTGCATGTGTCTTTACAGTAGAATAATTTATATTCCTTTGGGTATATACCCAGTAATGGGATTGCTGGGTCAAATGGTATTTCTGGTTCTAGATCATTAGGGAATCACCATACTGTCTTCCACAGTAGTTGAACTAATTTACTTTCCCACCAACAGTGTGAAAGTGTTCCTATTTCTCCACAGCCTCACTAGTATCTTTTGTTTCCTGACTTTTCAATAATCGCCATTCTAACTGGCATGAGATGGTATCTCATTGTGGTTTTGATTTGCATTTCTTTGATATTCATTCATGTTGAGCTTTTTCTCATATGTTTGTTGGCTGCAGAAATGTCTTATTTTGTATGTTATAGGTATATGTTAGTTTATATGAAATGTACCAAAGTATTTATTTGAGAGTTCTAGAATTAGAATAAGCTAGCATGATTGGAGGGTACAAATGGAAAATTTAAAAAAATAAATTTTATTCCTATAGGTTAACAATCAATGATAGCAAATTCATATTTTAAAATAATGCCATCAATAATGGCATCAATAAATATGTAATACTTAGAGAAAAATCTAACATATCGTATGCAGAATGTGTATGTTGAAAACGAGAAAATATTGATGAGACAGTGAAGCAGACCTACAAAAATGGAGACATATATAGAGGTAGATATTGTGTTTATGGATTAGAAGACTCAATTTCACTTAAGAAGCCAACTTCCTATATTTATGTAGAGATTCAATACCTTCCAAACCCCAAATCAGCAGACTATTTTTGTTTGTGTAGAATTTCAGAAATTAATTCTAAATGTATATGAAAAGCAAAGGAGCTGTATGGACAAATAAAGTGTGAAAATGAACATATTTGGAAGATACATACTTTTTAAATTCAGAGTTTGAAAAGCTTCAATAATCAAAATATGTGGGCCGGGCGCGGTGGCTCACGCCTGTAATCCCAGCACTTTGGGAGGCCGAGGCGGGCGGATCACGAGGTCAGGAGATCGAGACCATCCCGGCTAAAACGGTGAAACCCCGTCTCTACTAAAAATACAAAAAAATTAGCCGGGCGTAGTGGCGGGCGCCTGTAGTCCCAGCTACTTGGGAGGCTGAGGCAGGAGAATGGCGTGAACCCGGGAGGCGGAGCTTGCAGTGAGCCGAGATCCCGCCACTGCACTCCAGCCTGGGTGACAGAGCGAGACTCCGTCTCAAAAAAAAAAAAAAAAAAAAATGTGGTATTGGCTAATGATAGATTGAGATTCATGCAACAGCATGTAGATTCTAGGAATATACCCACAGATATTTGTCAATTGTTTTTTGACAAGTTGCCAATGTAGTTCAAGAAGGAAGTATAATATTTTCAATAAATAATTTCTGAAAACTAGATATATATTTTCAAAAAAAGAACACTGATTCATAGTCATGTGTTATATAAAAAATTAACTGAAAATATATTATACATCTAAGCAAAATATATTATGGAATCTAAAGCTATAAAACTTATGTAAAGAAATATATGAGAAAATCTTTGCAACCCTTGATTAGCCGAAGATTTCTCAGATAGGTCACTAAAGTGAAACATAAAGGAAATTGTAATGCCAATTTGTACTTCAACAAAATTCTGACCTTCCATACTTTCAGAAGGATTGTTAAGAAAATGAATATAACAGTAAAATACTCAGGGAAATATTTTAAAACAAGTTTTAATATTGGAGACTTGTATTCATAATACAAATAAAATGATCACAACTAAGTAATAATTAGAGAAATGCCCCATTTTTAAAAATGAGCAGAGGACTTGAACACACACATTTTATAAGATGAGAAACAGATGGAAAACTAACATATAAAAAAGTTATTCTACATCACTTGTTACTAGAAAAATGTAAACACAAGTATATGCCATGCACATATACTAGAATGACTTAAGAATTCAGACAAAAAGGGCTGGTGAGAATTCAAAGCAATGGAAACTTTTGCTCATTGCTTTTGAAAATGAAAAATGTTTTGGAAGATAATTTGTGTATTTTTAATCAATCTAAACATATCTAGTGATTTTATTTATTTTTTATTAATATTATCTTTGACGGACAAATTATAATTATTTACATTTATGTGCTAAAATGTGATGTTTTGATATACGTATACAATGGGGAATGATTAGATCAAGGTAATTAAAATATTCATGACCTTATTTGCCTATCTTTTTTATGGCAA